>NC_000013.11:17417364-17418562 GCF_000001405.40 Homo sapiens | reverse complement strand
TATGTGTAGTTTTTATGTGAAGACATTTCCTTTTCCACAATAGGCCACAAAGCTTTGCAAACATACACTTGCAGATTCTGCAAAAAGAAAGATTCAAAAATCCTCAATCAAAAGATAGGTTCAACTCTTGTGAGTTGAATGCACACATTGCAAAGAAGTTTCTCAGAATACTTCTATGTAGTTTTCATGGGAAGATATTTCCTTTTCCACAACAGGCCTCAAAGGGCTCCAAATATCCACTTGCAGATTCTACAAAAAGAGTGTTTCAAAACTGCTCCATCAAGAGAAAGTTTTAACTCTGTGAGATGAATGCAAACATCACAAAGATGTTTCTCTGAATGCTTCTGTGTAGTTTTAATCTGAAGATAATTGCTTTTCCACGGTAGGCCTTAAGGCCCTCAAAATATCCAGTTGCAGATTCTGCAAAAAGAGAGATTCAAAACTGCTCATTCTTAAGATAGGTTCAAGTCTGTGAGTTGAATGCATACATCACAAAGAAGTTTATCAGAATGCTTCTGTGTAATTTTTATCTGAAGATATTTCCTTTTCCACCATAGGACACAATGGGCTCCAAATATCCACTTGTACATTCTACAAAAAGAGAGACGCAAAACTGCTCAAAGAGGACATATGTTCAACTCTGTGAGTTGAATGCACACGACACAAAGAAGTTTCTCAGAATGGTTCTGTGTAGTTTTTATGTGAAAATATTTCCCTTTCCACAATATGCCTGAAAGCTCTCCAAACATCCCCTTGCAGATTCTGCAAAAAGAGAAATTCAAAACTGCTAAATCAAAAGATATGTTCAGCCCTGTGAGTTGAATGCACACATCACAAATAAGTTTCTGAGAATGTTTCTTTGTAGTTCTTATTTGAAGATATTTCCTTTTCTACCATAGCCCTCAAAGGGCTCCAATTATTCACTTGCAGATTCTACAAAAAGAGTGTTTCAAAACTGCTCAATCAAAAGAAAGTTTCAACACTGTGAGATGAATGCAAACATCAAAAAGAAGTATCTCAGAATGGTTCTATGTAGTTTTTACGTGAAGATATTTCCTTTTCCACAATAGTCCTCAAAGGGCTCCAATTATCCACTAGCAGATTGTACAAAAAGAGTGTTTCAAAACTGCTCCATCAAAAGAAAGTTTCAACTCTATGACATGAATGCACGCACCACAAAGAACTTTCCCAGAATATT
>NC_000013.11:17416924-17417264 GCF_000001405.40 Homo sapiens | reverse complement strand
TCTGTCTAGTTTTGAAACGAAGATATTTCCTTTTCTGCCTTTGGCCTCAAAGCGCTTGAAATCTCCACTTGCAAATTCCACAAAAAGAGTGTTTCAAATCTGCTCTGTGTAAATGAAAGTTCAACTCTGTGAGTTGAACACACACAACACAAGGAAGTTACTGGGAATTCTTCTGTCTAGCCTTACAGGAAAAAAACCCGTTTCCAACGAAGGCCTCTAAGTGGTCAAAATATCCACGTGCAGACTTTACAAACAGAGTGTTTCCAAACTGCTGAATGAAAAGAAAAGTTAAACTCTGAGAGTTGAACGCACACATCGCAGAGCAGTTTCTGAGAATGAT
>NC_000013.11:17416484-17416824 GCF_000001405.40 Homo sapiens | reverse complement strand
TCTGTCTAGCATAATATGAAGAAATCCCGTTTCCAACGAAGGCCTCAAAGAGGTCTGAATATCCACTTGCAGACTTTACAAACAGAGTGTTTCCTAACTGCTCTATGAGAAGAAAAGTTAAACTCTGTGAGTTGAACGCACACATCACAAAAGATTTTCTGAGAATCATTGTGTCTAGTTTCTATAAGAAGATATTTCCTATTCTACCTTTGACCTCAAAGCGGCTGAAATCTCCACTTGCAAATTCGACAAAAAGAGTGTTTCAAGCCTGCTCTCTGTAAAGGATCCTTCAACTCTGTGAGTTGAATACACACAACACAAGGAAGTTACTGAGAATTAT
>NC_000013.11:16259512-16282073 GCF_000001405.40 Homo sapiens | reverse complement strand
TCTGTCTACATTTTTTGTGGAGACATTTCCTTTTCTACTGCATACCACAATGCGCTCCAAATGTCCACTTGCAGATTCTACAAAAAGAGTGTTTCCAAACTGCTCAATAAAATGAAAAGTTTAACTCTGTGAGATGAACGCACACATCAGAAAGAAGTTTCCCAGAATTATTCAGTCTAGTTTTTATGTAAAGATATTTCATTTTCCACCAGAGGCCACAAGTTGCTCAAATTGTCCACTTGCAGATTCTACAAAAAGAGGGTTTCCAAACTGCTCAATCAAAACAATGGTTCAGCTCTGTGTGGTGAACGCACACATCACCAAGCAGTTTCTCAGAATTCTTTTGACTAGTTTTTATGTGAAGATATTTCCTTTTCCACCATAGGCCTCAAAGCACTCCAAATGTAGACTTGTAGATTCTACAAAAAGAGTTTCAAAACTGCTCAATCAAGGGAAAGGTTAAACAATGTGTGGTGAATGCACACATCACAAAGAAGTCTCAGATTGCTTCTGTCTAGATTTTATGTGATGATATTTCCTTTTCTACCGTAGGCCACAAAGTGCTCCAAAAGTCCACTTGCAGATTCTACAAAAAGAGTGTTTGAAACTGCTCAATCAAAAGAAAGGTTCAACTGTGTGAGATTAACGCACACATAAGAAAGAAGTTTCTCAGAATTCTTCTGTCTAGTTTTCATGTGAAGCCATTTTCTTTTCCACCATAGGCCTCCAGGCGCTCAAAATGTCCACTTGCAGATTCTACAAAAAGACAGTTTCAAATCTGCTCATTCAAAAGGAAGGTTTAATTCTGTAAGATGAATACAAACATCACAAAGGAGTCTCTCAGAATTCCTCTGTCTAGATTTTATGTGAAGATATTTCCTGTTCTACCATAGGCTTCAAAGCATTCCATACATCTACTTGCAGATTCTACGAAAAGAGTGTTTCCAAACTGCTCAATCAAAAGAAAGGTTCAACTCTGTGAGATGAACGCACACATCACATAGAAGTTTATCAGAATACATCTGCTTAGTTTTTATGTGAAGATATTTCCTTTTCCACCATAGGCTGCAAAACGCTCCAAATATCCGCTAGCAGATTCTACAAAAAGAGGGTTTCCGAACTGCTCAATCATAAAGAAAGGTTCAACTCTGTTAGATAAATGCAAGCATCACAAAGGAGTTTCTCAGAATTCTTCTGCCGAGTTTCAATTTGTAGATATTTCCTTTTCCACCATAGGCCTGAAAGGGCTCAAAATGTCCACTTGCAGATTCTACAAAAAGATACTTACAAAACTGCTGGATCAAAAGAATGTTTTACTCTGTGAGATGAATGCACACATCCCAAAGAAGTTTCTCAGAATTGTTCTCTCTATTTATTATATGAAGATATTTCATTATCCACCATAGGCCTCAAAGCGCTCCAAATGTCCACTTTTAGATTCTACAAAAAGAGTGTTTCAAAACTGGACAATCAAAAGTAAGGTTCAACTCTGTGAGATGATTGCACACATCACAAAGAAATTTCTCAGAATGCTTCTGTCTGGTTTTTAGGTGAAGATATTTTCTTTTCCACCATAGGCCTCAAAGCGCTCTAAATGTCCACTTGCAGATCCTACAAAAAGAGTTTTTCGAAACAGCTCAATCAAAAGAAAGTTTCAAGTCAGTGAGATGAATGCAAACGTCACAAAGAAGTTTTTCAAAATGCTTCTGTCTAGTTTTTCTGTGAAGATATTTCCTTTTCCACCATAGGCCTCAAAGCGCTCCAAATGTCCACTTGCAGATTCTACAAAAAGAGTGTTTCAAAGCTGTTCAATCAAAAGAAAGGTCCAGCTCTGAGAGATGAATGCACACTTTACAAAGTAGTTTGTCAGAATGCTTCTGTCTCGTTTTTATATGAGGGTATTTCCTTTTCCACCATAGGCCTCAAAGCACTCTAAATGTCCTCTTGCAGATACTACAAAAAGGGTGTTTCAAAACTGCTCAATCAAAACTAAGGTTCAACTCTGGGAGATGAATGCACATATCACAATGAAGGTTGTCAGAATGCTTCTGTTTTTTATATGAAGATATATGAAGATATTTCCTTTTCCACCATGTGCGTCAAAGCCCTCAAAATGTCCACTTACAGATTCTCCAAAAAGAGTGTTTCAAAATTGCTCAATGAAAAGTAAGGTTCAACTCTGTGAGATGAATGCCCACATCACAAAGAAGTTTGTCAGAATGCTTCTGTCTAGTTTTTATGTGAAGATATTTCCTTTTTCGCCATAGTCCCCAAAGCGCTACAAATGACTACTTGCAGATTCTACAAAAAGAGTGTTTCAAAGTTGCTCAATCAAAAGGAAGTTTCAACTCTGAAAGATGAATGCATGCATAACAAAGAAGTTTGTCAGAAGATTTCTGTCTAGTTTTTATGTGACGATACATCCTTTTCCACCATAGGCCAGAAAGCGGTCCAATTGTCCACTTGCAGATTCTACAAAAAGAGTGTTTCAAATCTGCTCAATGAAAAGTAAGGTTCAAATCTTTGAGTTGAACGCACACATTGAAAAGAAGTTTGTCAGAATGCTTCTGTCTAGTTTTTAAGTGAAGATATTTCCTTTTCCACCATAGGCCTCAAAGCACTCCAATTGTCCACTTGCAGATTTTACAAAAAGAGTGCTTCCAAAGTGCTCAATCAAAAGGGAGGTTCAACCCTGTAAGATGAATGCACACATCACAAAGAAGTTTCTCAGAATGGTTCTGTCCAATTTTTATGTGAAGATATTTCGTTTTCCACCATAGGCCTCAAAGCACTCCAAATGTCCACTTGCAGATTCTACAAAAAGAATGTTGCAAAGCTGCTCAATCAAAAGAAAGTTTCAACACTTTGTGAGATGTATGCAGACATCACAAAAAGTTTATCATAATGCTTCTGTCTACATTTTTTGTGGAGACATTTCCTTTTCTACTGCATACCACAATGCGCTCCAAATGTCCACTTGCAGATTCTACAAAAAGAGTGTTTCCAAACTGTTCAATAAAATGAAAAGTTTAACTCTGTGAGATGAACGCACACATCAGAAAGAAGTTTCCCAGAATTATTCTGTCTAGTTTTTAAGTTAAGATATTTCCTTTTCGACCAGGGGCATCAAAGTACTCCAAATGTCCACTTGCATATTCTACGAAAAGAGGGTTTCCAAACTGCTCAATCAAAACAATGGTTCAGCCCTGTGAGGTGAACGCACACATCACCAAGAAGTTTCTCAGAATTCTTTTGACTAGTTTTTATGTGAAGATATTTCCTTTTCCACCATAGGCCTCAAAGCACTCCAAATGTAGACTTGTAGATTCTACAAAAAGAGTTTCAAAACTGCTCAATCAAGGGAAAGGTTAAACAATGTGTGGTGAATGCACACATCACAAAGAAGTCTCAGATTGCTTCTGTCTAGATTTTATGTGATGATATTTCCTTTTCTACCGTAGGCCACAAAGCCCTCCAAATGTCTACTTGCAGATTCTACAAAAAGAGTGTTTTGAAACTGCTCAATCAAAAGAAAGGTTCAACTGTGTGAGATTAACGCACACATCAGAAAGAAGTTTCTCAGAATTCTTCTGTCTAGTTTTCATGTGAAGGCATTTTCTTTTCCACCATAGGCCTCAAGGCGCTCAAAATGTCCACTTGCAGATTCTACAAAAAGACAGTTTCAAATCTGCTCATTCAAAAGGAAGCTTTAACTCTGTAAGATGAGTACACGCATCACAAAGAAGTCTCTCAGAATTCCTCTGTCTAGATTTTATGTGAAGATATTTCCTGTTCTACCATAGGCTTCAAAGCATTCCATACGTCTACTTGCAGATTCTACGAAAAGAGTGTTTCCAAACTGCTCAATCAAAAGAAAGGTTCAACTCTGTGAGATGAACGCACACATCACATAGAAGTTTATCAGAATACATTTGTTTAGTTTTTATGTGAAGATATTTCCTTTTCCACCATAGGCTGCAAAACGCTCCAAATATCCGCTAGCAGATTCTACAAAAAGAGGGTTTCCGAACTGCTCAATCATAAAGAAAGGTTCAACTCTGTTAGATAAATGCAAGCATCACAAAGGAGTTTCTCAGAATTCTTCTGTCTAGTTCTTATGTGAAGATATTTCCTTTTCCACCATAGGCCTCAAAGCACTCCAATTGTCCACTTGCAGATTTTACAGAAAGAGTGCTTCCAAAGTGCTCAATCAAAAGGGAGGTTCAACTCTGTGAGATGAATGCACACATCACAAAGAAGTTTCTCAGAATGCTTCTGTCCAATTTTTATGTGAACATATTTCGTTATCCACCATAGGTCTCAAAGCACTCCAAATGTCCACTTGCAGATTCCACAAAAAGAATGTTGCAAAGCTGCTCAATCAAAAGAAAGTTTCAACTCTTTGTGAGATGTATGCAGACATCACAAAAAGTTTAACATAATGCTTCTGTCTGGTTTTTAGGTGAAGATATTTTCTTTTCCACCATAGCCCTCAAAGCACTCTAAATGTCCACTTGCAGATCCTACAAAAAGAGTTTTTCAAAACAGCTCAATCAAAAGAAAGTTTCAAGTCAGTGAGATGAATGCAAACGTCACAAAGAAGTTTTTCAAAATGCTTCTGTCTAGTTTTTCTGTGAAGATATTTGCTTTTCGACCATAGACCTCAAAGTGCTCCAAATGTCCAATTGCAGATTCTACAAAAAGAGTGTTTCAAAGCTGCTCAATCAAAAGAAAGGTCCAGCTCTGTGAGATGAATGCACACAGCACAAAGTAGTTTGTCAGAATGCTTCTGTCTAGTTTTTCTGTGAAGATATTTCCTTTTCCACCATAGGCCTCAAAGCGCTCCAAATGTCCACTTGCAGATTCTACAAAAAGAGTGTTTCAAAGCTGTTCAATCAAAAGAAAGGTCCAGCTCTGAGAGATGAATGCACACATTACAAAGTAGTTTGTCAGAATGCTTCTGTCTCGTTTTTATGTGAAGGTATTTCCTTTTCCACCATGTGCGTCAAAGCCCTCAAAATGTCCACTTACAGATTCTCCAAAAAGAGTGTTTCAAAATTGCTCAATGAAAAGTAAGGTTCAACTCTGTGAGATGAATGCACACATCGCAAAGAAGTTTGTCAGAATGCTTCTGTCTAGTTTTTATGGGAAGATATTTCCTTTTTCGCCATAGTCTCCAAAGCGCTACAAATGACTACTTGCAGATTCTACAAAAAGAGTGTTTCAAAGTTGCTCAATCAAAAGGAAGGTTCAACTCTGAAAGATGAATGCATGCATAACAAAGAAGTTTGTCAGAAGATTTCTGTCTAGTTTTTATGTGACGATATATCCTTTTCCACCATAGGCCACAAAGCGGTCCAATTGTCCACTTGCAGATTCTACAAAAAGAGTGTTTCAAATCTGCTCAATGAAAAGTAAGGTTCAAATCTGTGAGTTGAATGCACACATCGAAAAGAAGTTTGTCAGAATGCTTCTGTCTGTTCTGTATGTGAAGATGTTCCCTTTTCCACCATAGGCCTCAAAGTGCTCCAAATGTACACTTGCAGATTCTACAAAAAGAGTGTTTCAAAGCTCCTGAATCAAGGAAAGTTTCAATTCTTTGTGAGATGAATGCACACATCACAAAGAAGTTTGTCAGAATGCTTCTGTCTAGTTTTTAAGTGAAGATATTTCCTTTTCCACCATAGGCCTCAAAGCACTCCAATTGTCCACTTGCAGATTTTACAGAAAGAGTGCTTCGAAAGTGCTCAATCAAAAGGGAGGTTCAACTCTGTGAGATGAATGCACACGTCACAAAGAAGTTTCTCAGAATGCTTCTGTCTACATTTTTTGTGGAGACATTTCCTTTTCTACTGCATACCACAATGCTCTCCAAATGTCCACTTGCAGATTCTACAAAAAGAGTGTTTCCAAACTGTTCAATAAAATGAAAAGTTTAACTCTGTGAGATGAACGCACACATCAGAAAGAAGTTTCCCAGAATTATTCAGTCTAGTTTTTATGTAAAGATATTTCATTTTCCACCAGAGGCCACAAGTTGCTCAAATTGTCCACTTGCAGATTCTACAAAAAGAGGGTTTCCAAACTGCTCAATCAAAACAATGGTTCAGCTCTGTGTGGTGAACGCACACATCACCAAGCAGTTTCTCAGAATTCTTTTGACTAGTTTTTATGTGAAGATATTTCCTTTTCCACCATAGGCCTCAAAGCACGCCAAATGTAGACTTGTAGATTCTACAAAAAGAGTTTCAAAACTGCTCAATCAAGGGAAAGGTTAAACAATGTGTGGTGAATGCACACATCACAAAGAAGTCTCAGATTGCTTCTGTCTAGATTTTATGTGATGATATTTCCTTTTCTACCGTAGGCCACAAAGCCCTCCAAATGTCTACTTGCAGATTCTACAAAAAGAGTGTTTTGAAACTGCTCAATCAAAAGAAAGGTTTAACTGTGTGAGATTAACGCACACATCAGAAAGAAGTTTCTCAGAATTCTTCTGTCTAGTTTTCATGTGAAGGCATTTTCTTTTCCACCATAGGCCTCAAGGCGCTCAAAATGTCCACTTGCAGATTCTACAAAAAGACAGTTTCAAATCTGCTCATTCAAAAGGAAGGTTTAACTCTGTAAGATGAGTACACGCATCACAAAGAAGTCTCTCAGAATTCCTCTGTCTAGATTTTATGTGAAGATATTTCCTGTTCTACCATAGGCTTCAAAGCATTCCATACGTCCACTTGCAGACTCTACAAAAAGAGTGTTTCCAAACTGCTCAATCAAAAGAAAGGTTCAACTCTGTGAGATGAATGCACACATCACATAGAAGTTTCTCAGAATACATCTGTTTAGTTTTTATGTGAAGATATTTCCTTTTCCACCATAGGCTGCAAAACGCTCCAGATATCCGCTAGCAGATTCTACAAAAAGAGGGTTTCCAAACTGCTCAATCATAAAGAAAGGTTCAAGTCTGTTAGATGAATGCAAGCATCACAAAGGAGTTTCTCAGAATTCTTCTGTCGAGTTTCAATTTGTAGATATTTCCTTTTCCACCATAGGCCTGAAAGGACTCAAAATGTCCACTTGCAGATTCTACAAAAAGAGACTTACAAAACTGCTCGATCAAAAGAATGTTTTACTCTGTGAGATGAAAGCACACATCCCAAAGAAGTTTCTCAGAATAGTTCTGTCTAGTTTTTATGTGAAGATATTTCCTTTTCCACCATAGGTCTAAAAGTGCTCCAAATGTCCACTTGCAGATTCTACAAAAAGAGTGTTTCAAAATTGCTCAATGAAAAGTAAGGTTCAACTCTGTGAGATGAATGCACACATCACAAAGAAGTTTCTCAGAATACTTCTGTATGGTTTTTAGGTGAAGATATTTTCTTTTCCTCCATAGGCCTCAAAGCGATCCAAATGTCCACATGCAGATCCTACAAAAAGAGTTTTTCAAAACTGCTCAATCAAAAGAAAGGTTCACATCAGTGAGATGAATGCAAACGTCACAATGAAGTTTTTCAAAATACTTCTGTCTAGTTTTTCTGTGAAGATATTTGCTTTTCGACCATAGACCTCAAAGTGCTCCAAATGTCCAATTGCAGATTCTACAAAAAGAGTGTTTCAAAGCTGCTCAATCAAAAGAAAGGTCCAGCTCTGTGAGATGAATGCACACAGCACAAAGTAGTTTGTCAGAATGCTTCTGTCTCGTTTTTATATGAGGGTATTTCCTTTTCCACCATAGGCCTCAAAGCACTCGAAATGTCCTCTTGCAGATACTACAAAAAGGGTGTTTCAAAACTGCTCAATCAAAACTAAGGTTCAACTCTGGGAGATGAATGCACATATCACAATGAAGGTTGTCAGAATGCTTCTGTTTTTTATATGAAGATATATGAAGATATTTCCTTTTCCACCATGTGCGTCAAAGCCCTCAAAATGTCCACTTACAGATTCTCCAAAAAGAGTGTTTCAAAATTGCTCAATGAAAAGTAAGGTTCAACTCTGTGAGATGAATGCCCACATCACAAAGAAGTTTGTCAGAATGCTTCTGTCTAGTTTTTATGTGAAGATATTTCCTTTTTCGCCATAGTCCCCAAAGCGCTACAAATGACTACTTGCAGATTCTACAAAAAGAGTGTTTCAAAGTTGCTCAATCAAAAGGAAGTTTCAACTCTGAAAGATGAATGCATGCATAACAAAGAAGTTTGTCAGAAGATTTCTGTCTAGTTTTTATGTGACGATATATCCTTTTCCACCATAGGCCACAAAGCGGTCCAATTGTCCACTTGCAGATTCTACAAAAAGAGTGTTTCATATCTGCTCAATGAAAAGTAAGGTTCAAATCTGTGAGTTGAACGCACACATCGAAAAGAAGTTTGTCAGAATGCTTCTGTCTGTTCTGTATGTGAAGATGTTCCCTTTTCCACCATAGGCCTCAAAGTGCTCCAAATGTACACTTGCAGATTCTACAAAAAGAGTGTTTCAAAGCTCCTGAATCAAGGAAAGTTTCAATTCTTTGTGAGATGAATGCACACATCACAAAGAAGTTTGTCAGAATGCTTCTGTCTAGAGTTTATGAGAAGATATTTGCTTCTCTACCATTGGCCACAAATCTCTCCACATGTGCACTTGCAGATTCTACAAAAAGAGTGTTTCCAAACTGCTCAATCTAAAGATAGGTTCAAATCTGTGACATGAATGCACACATCACAAAGAAGTTTATAAGACTGCTTCTGTCTACATTTTTTGTGGAGACATTTCCTTTTCTACTGCATACCACAATGCGCTCCAAATGTCCACTTGCAGATTCTACAAAAAGAGTGTTTCCAAACTGCTCAATAAAATGAAAAGTTTAACTCTGTGAGATGAACGCACACATCAGAAAGAAGTTTCCCAGAATTATTCAGTCTAGTTTTTATGTAAAGATATTTCATTTTCCACCAGAGGCCACAAGGTGCTCAAATTGTCCACTTGCAGATTCTACAAAAAGAGGGTTTCCAAACTGCTCAATCAAAACAATGGTTCAGCTCTGTGTGGTGAACGCACACATCACCAAGCAGTTTCTCAGAATTGCTTTTGACTAGTTTTTATGTGAAGATATTTCCTTTTCCACCATAGGCCTCAAAGCACTCCAAATGTAGACTGGTAGATTCTACAAAAAGAGTTTCAAAACTGCTCAATCAAGGGAAAGGTTAAACAATGTGTGGTGAATGCACACATCACAAAGAAGTCTCAGATTGCTTCTGTCTAGTTTTTATGTGAAGATATTTCCTTTTCCACCATAGGCCTCAAAGGGCTCCAAATGTCCACTTGCACATTCTACAAAAAGAGTGTTTCAAAGCTGCTCAATGAAAAGTAAGGTTCAACTCTATGAGATGAATGCACAAATCACAAAGAAGTCTGTCAGAATGCTTCTGTCTAGTTTTCATGTGAAGCCATTTTCTTTTCCACCATAGGCCTCCAGGCGCTCAAAATGTCCACTTGCAGATTCTACAAAAAGACAGTTTCAAATCTGCTCATTCAAAAGGAAGGTTTAATTCTGTAAGATGAATACAAACATCACAAAGGAGTCTCTCAGAATTCCTCTGTTCAGATTTTATGTGAAGATATTTCCTGTTCTACCATAGGCTTCAAAGCATTCCATACGTCCACTTGCAGATTCTACAAAAAGAGTGTTTCCAAACTGCTCAATCAAAAGAAAGGTTCAACTCTGTGAGATGAACGCACACATCACATAGAAGTTTCTCAGAATACATCTATTTAGTTTTCATGTGAAGATATTTCCTTTTCCACCATAGGCTGCAAAACGCTCCAAATATCCGCTGGCAGATTCTAAAAAAGAGGGTTTCCAAACTGATCAATCATAAAGAAAGGTTCAACTCTGTTACATGAATGCAAGCATCACAAAGGAGTTTCTCAGAATTCTTCTGTCGAGTTTCAATTTGTAGATATTTCCTTTTCCACCATAGGCCTGAAAGGACTCAAAATGTCCACTTGCAGATTCTACAAAAAGAGACTTACAAAACTGCTCGATCAAAAGAATGTTTTACTCTGTGAGATGAAAGCACACATCCCAAAGAAGTTTCTCAGAATAGTTCTGTCTAGTTTTTATGTGAAGATATTTCCTTTTCCACCATAGGTCTAAAAGTGCTCCGAATGTCCACTTGCAGATTCTACAAAAAGAGAGTTTCAAAACTGCTGAATCAAAAGTAAGGTTCAACTCTCTTAGATGAATGCACATATCACAATGAAGGTTGTCAGAATGCTTCTGTCTGGTTTTTAGGTGAAGATATTTTCTTTTCCACCATAGGCCTCAAAGCGCTCTAAATGTCCACTTGCAGATCCTACAAAAAGAGTTTTTCAAAACCGCTCAATCAAAAGAAAGTTTCAAGTCAGTGAGATGAATGCAAACGTCACAAAGAAGTTTTTCAAAATGCTTCTGTCTAATTTTTATGTGAAGGTATTTCCTTTTCCACTGTAGGCCTCAAAGTGCTCCAAATGTCCACTTGCAGACTCTACAAAGAGTGTTTCAAAGCTGCTCAATCAAAAGAAAGTTTCAACTTTGTGAGATGAATGCACACATCACAAAGCAGTTTGTGAGAATGCTTCTGTCTCGTTTTTATATGAGGGTATTTCCTTTTCCACCATAGGCCTCAAAGCACTCGAAATGTCCTCTTGCAGATACTACAAAAAGGGTGTTTCAAAACTGCTCAATCAAAACTAAGGTTCAACTCTGGGAGATGAATGCACATATCACAATGAAGGTTGTCAGAATGCTTCTGTCTAGTTTTTATATGAAGATATTTCCTTTTCCACCACGTGCGTCAAAGCCCTCAAAAAGTCCACTTACAGATTCTCCAAAAAGAGTGTTTCAAAATAGCTCAATGAAAAGTAAGGTTCAACTCTGTGAGATGAATGCCCACATCACAAAGAAGTTTGTCAGAATGCCTTTGTCTAGTTTTTATGGGAAGATATTTCCTTTTTCGCCATAGTCTCCAAAGCGCTACAAATGACTACTTGCAGATTCTACAAAAAGAGTGTTTCAAAGTTGCTCAATCAAAAGGAAGGTTCAACTCTGAAAGATGAATGCATGCATAACAAAGAAGTTTGTCAGAAGATTTCTGTCTAGTTTTTATGTGACGATATATCCTTTTCCACCATAGGCCACAAAGCGGTCCAATTGTCCACTTGCAGATTCTACAAAAGGAGTGTTTCATATCTGCTCAATGAAAAGTAAGGTTCAAATCTGTGAGTTGAACGCACACATCGAAAAGAAGTTTGTCAGAATGCTTCTGTCTGTTCTATATGTGAAGATGTCCCCTTTTCCACCATAGGCCTCAAAGCGCTCCAAATGTACACTTGCAGATTCTACAAAAAGAGTGTTTCAAAGCTCCTGAATCAAAGAAAGTTTCAATTCTTTGTGAGATGAATGCACACATCACAGAGAAGTTTGTCAGAATGCTTCTGTCTAGTTTTTAAGTGAAGATATTTCCTTTTCCACCATAGGCCTCAAAGCACTCCAATTGTCCACTTGCAGATTTTACAAAAAGAGTGCTTCCAAAGTGCTCAATCAAAAGGGAGGTTCAACCCTGTAAGATGAATGCACACATCACAAAGAAGTTTATAAGACTGCTTCTGTCTACATTTTTTGTGGAGACATTTCCTTTTCTACTGCATACCACAATGCGCTCCAAATGTCCACTTGCAGATTCTACAAAAAGAGTGTTTCCAAACTGCTCAATAAAATGAAAAGTTTAACTCTGTGAGATGAACGCACACATCAGAAAGAAGTTTCCCAGAATTATTCAGTCTAGTTTTTATGTAAAGATATTTCATTTTCCACCAGAGGCCACAAGGTGCTCAAATTGTCCACTTGCAGATTCTACAAAAAGAGTATTTCAAAACTGTCCATCAAAAGAAAGGTTCAGCTCTGGGAGATGAATACAAACATCACAAAGAGGTTTCTCAGAATGCTTCTGTCTAGAGTTTATGCGAAGATATTTGCTTCTCTACCATTGGCCACAAATCTCTCCACATGTGCACTTGCAGATTCTACAAAAAGAGTGTTTCCAAACTGCTCAATCTAAAGATAGGTTCAAATCTGTGACATGAATGCACACATCACAAAGAAGTTTATAAGACTGCTTCTGTCTAGATTTTATGTGATGATATTTCCTTTTCTACCGTAGGCCACAAAGCCCTCCAAATGTCTACTTGCAGATTCTACAAAAAGAGTGTTTTGAAACTGCTCAATCAAAAGAAAGGTTTAACTGTGTGAGATTAACGCACACATCAGAAAGAAGTTTCTCAGAATTCTTCTGTCTAGTTTTCATGTGAAGGCATTTTCTTTTCCACCATAGGCCTCAAGGCGCTCAAAATGTCCACTTGCAGATTCTACAAAAAGACAGTTTCAAATCTGCTCATTCAAAAGGAAGGTTTAACTCTGTAAGATGAGTACACGCATCACAAAGAAGTCTCTCAGAATTCCTCTGTCTAGATTTTATGTGAAGATATTTCCTGTTCTACCATAGGCTTCAAAGCATTCCATACGTCCACTTGCAGACTCTACAAAAAGAGTGTTTCCAAACTGCTCAATCAAAAGAAAGGTTCAACTCTGTGAGATGAATGCACACATCACATAGAAGTTTCTCAGAATACATCTGTTTAGTTTTTATGTGAAGATATTTCCTTTTCCACCATAGGCTGCAAAACGCTCCAGATATCCGCTAGCAGATTCTACAAAAAGAGGGTTTCCAAACTGCTCAATCATAAAGAAAGGTTCAAGTCTGTTAGATGAATGCAAGCATCACAAAGGAGTTTCTCAGAATTCTTCTGTCGAGTTTCAATTTGTAGATATTTCCTTTTCCACCATAGGCCTGAAAGGACTCAAAATGTCCACTTGCAGATTCTACAAAAAGAGACTTACAAAACTGCTCGATCAAAAGAATGTTTTACTCTGTGAGATGAAAGCACACATCCCAAAGAAGTTTCTCAGAATAGTTCTGTCTAGTTTTTATGTGAAGATATTTCCTTTTCCACCATAGATCTAAAAGTGCTCCAAATGTCCACTTGCAGATTCTACAAAAAGAGTGTTTCAAAATTGCTCAATGAAAAGTAAGGTTCAACTTTGTGAGATGAATTCACACATCACAAAGAAGTTTCTCAGAATAATTCTGTCTAGTTTTTATGTGAAGATACTTCCTTTTCCACCATAGGCCTCAAAGCGCTCCAAATGTCCACATGCAGATTCTACAAAAAGAGGGTTTCCAAACTGCTCAATCAAAACAACGGTTCAACTCTGTGAGGTGAACACACACATCAACAAGAAGTTTCTCAGAATTCTTCTGTCTAGTTTTTCTGTGAAGATATTTCCTTTTCCACCATAGGCCTCAAAGCGCTCCAAATGTCCACTTGCAGATTCTACAAAAAGAGTGTTTCAAAGCTGTTCAACCAAAAGAAAGGTCCAGCTCTGAGAGATGAATGCACACATTACAAAGTAGTTTGTCAGAATGCTTCTGTCTCGTTTTTATGTGAAGGTATTTCCTTTTCCACCATGTGCGTCAAAGCCCTCAAAATGTCCACTTACAGATTCTCCAAAAAGAGTGTTTCAAAATTGCTCAATGAAAAGTAAGGTTCAACTCTGTGAGATGAATGCACACATCACAAAGAAGTTTGTCAGAATGCTTCTGTCTCGTTTTTATGTGAAGGTATTTCCTTTTCCACCATGTGCGTCAAAGCCCTCAAAATGTCCACTTACAGATTCTCCAAAAAGAGTGTTTCAAAATTGCTCAATGAAAAGTAAGTTTCAACTCTGTGAGATGAATGCACACATCACAAAGAAGTTTGTCAGAATGCTTCTGTCTAGTTTTTATGTGAAGATATTTCCTTTTTTGCCATAGGCCCCAAAGCGCTCCAAATGACTACTTGCAGATTCTACAAAAACAGTGTTTCAAAGTTGCTCAATCAAAAGAAAGGTTCAACTCTGAAAGATGAATGCACACATAACAAAGAAGTTTGTCAGAAGATTTCTGTCTAGTTTTTATGTGACGATATATCCTTTTCCACCATAGGCCACAAAGCGGTCCAATTGTCCACTTGCAGATTCTACAAAAGGAGTGTTTCATATCTGCTCAATGAAAAGTAAGGTTCAAATCTGTGAGTTGAACGCACACATCAAAAAGAAGTTTGTCAGAATGCTTCTGTCTGTTCTATATGTGAAGATGTCCCCTTTTCCACCATAGGCCTCAAAGCGCTCCAAATGTACACTTGCAGATTCTACAAAAAGAGTGTTTCAAAGCTCCTGAATCAAAGAAAGTTTCAATTCTTTGTGAGATGAATGCACACATCACAAAGAAGTTTGTCAGAATGCTTCTGTCTAGTTTTTAAGTGAAGATATTTCCTTTTCCACCATAGGCCTCAAAGCACTCCAATTGTCCACTTGCAGATTTTACAAAAAGAGTGCTTCCAAAGTGCTCAATCAAAAGGGAGGTTCAACCCTGTAAGATGAATGCACACATCACAAAGAAGTTTCTCAGAATGCTTCTGTCTACATTTTTTGTGGAGACATTTCCTTTTCTACTGCATACCACAATGCGCTCCAAATGTCCACTTGCAGATTCTACAAAAAGAGTGTTTCCAAACTGCTCAATAAAATGAAAAGTTTAACTCTGTGAGATGAACGCACACATCAGAAAGAAGTTTCCCAGAATTATTCAGTCTAGTTTTTATGTAAAGATATTTCATTTTCCACCAGAGGCCACAAGGTGCTCAAATTGTCCACTTGCAGATTCTACAAAAAGAGGGTTTCCAAACTGCTCAATCAAAACAATGGTTCAGCTCTGTGTGGTGAACGCACACATCACCAAGCAGTTTCTCAGAATTCTTTTGACTAGTTTTTATGTGAAGATATTTCCTTTTCCACCATAGGCCTCAAAGCACTCCAAATGTAGACTGGTAGATTCTACAAAAAGAGTTTCAAAACTGCTCAATCAAGGGAAAGGTTAAACAATGTGTGGTGAATGCACACATCACAAAGAAGTCTCAGATTGCTTCTGTCTAGATTTTATGTGATGATATTTCCTTTTCTACCGTAGGCCACAAAGCCCTCCAAATGTCTACTTGCAGATTCTACAAAAAGAGTGTTTTGAAACTGCTCAATCAAAAGAAAGGTTTAACTGTGTGAGATTAACGCACACATCAGAAAGAAGTTTCTCAGAATTCTTCTGTCTAGTTTTCATGTGAAGGCATTTTCTTTTCCACCATAGGCCTCAAGGCGCTCAAAATGTCCACTTGCAGATTCTACAAAAAGACAGTTTCAAATCTGCTCATTCAAAAGGAAGGTTTAACTCTGTAAGATGAGTACACGCATCACAAAGAAGTCTCTCAGAATTCCTCTGTCTAGATTTTATGTGAAGATATTTCCTGTTCTACCATAGGCTTCAAAGCATTCCATACGTCCACTTGCAGACTCTACAAAAAGAGTGTTTCCAAACTGCTCAATCAAAAGAAAGGTTCAACTCTGTGAGATGAATGCACACATCACATAGAAGTTTCTCAGAATACATCTGTTTAGTTTTTATGTGAAGATATTTCCTTTTCCACCATAGGCTGCAAAACGCTCCAGATATCCGCTAGCAGATTCTACAAAAAGAGGGTTTCCAAACTGCTCAATCATAAAGAAAGGTTCAAGTCTGTTAGATGAATGCAAGCATCACAAAGGAGTTTCTCAGAATTCTTCTGTCAAGTTTCAATTTGTAGATATTTCCTTTTCCACCATAGACCTGAAAGGACTCAAAATGTCCACTTGCAGATTCTACAAAAAGAGACTTACAAAACTGCTCGATCAAAAGAATGTTTTACTCTGTGAGATGAAAGCACACATCCCAAAGAAGTTTCTCAGAATAGTTCTGTCTAGTTTTTATGTGGAGATATTTCCTATTCCACCATAGGCCTCATGGCTCTCGAAAATTCTACTTGCAGATTCTACAAAAAGCATATTTCAAAACTGGTCTTTCAAAAGAGAGGTTCAACCCTGTGAGATGAATTCACACATCAGAAAGAAGTTTCTCAGAATGCTTCTGTCTAGTTTTTAAGTTAAGATATTTCCTTTTCGACCAGGGGCATCAAAGTACTCCAAATGTCCACTTGCATATTCTACGAAAAGAGGGTTTCCAAACTGCTCAATCAAAACAATGGTTCAGCTCTGTGAGGTGAACGCACACATCACCAAGAAGTTTCTCAGAATTCTTTTGACTAGTTTTTATGTGAAGATATTTCCTTTTCCACCATAGGCCTCAAAGCACTCCAAATGTAGACTTGTAGATTCTACAAAAAGAGTTTCAAAACTGCTCAATCAAGGGAAAGGTTAAACAATGTGTGGTGAATGCACACATCACAAAGAAGTCTCAGATTGCTTCTGTCTAGATTTTATGTGATGATATTTCCTTTTCTACCGTAGGCCACAAAGCCCTCCAAATGTCTACTTGCAGATTCTACAAAAAGAGTGTTTTGAAACTGCTCAATCAAAAGAAAGGTTCAACTGTGTGAGATTAACGCACACATCAGAAAGAAGTTTCTCAGAATTCTTCTGTCTAGTTTTCATGTGAAGGCATTTTCTTTTCCACCATAGGCCTCAAGGCGCTCAAAATGTCCACTTGCAGATTCTACAAAAAGACAGTTTCAAATCTGCTCATTCAAAAGGAAGGTTTAACTCTGTAAGATGAGTACACGCATCACAAAGAAGTCTCTCAGAATTCCTCTGTCTAGATTTTATGTGAAGATATTTCCTGTTCTACCATAGGCTTCAAAGCATTCCATACGTCTACTTGCAGATTCTACGAAAAGAGTGTTTCCAAACTGCTCAATCAAAAGAAAGGTTCAACTCTGTGAGATGAACGCACACATCACATAGAAGTTTATCAGAATACATCTGTTTAGTTTTTATGTGAAGATATTTCCTTTTCCACCATAGGCTGCAAAACGCTCCAAATATCCGCTAGCAGATTCTACAAAAAGAGGGTTTCCGAACTGCTCAATCATAAAGAAAGGTTCAACTCTGTTAGATAAATGCAAGCATCACAAAGGAGTTTCTCAGAATTCTTCTGTCAAGTTTCAATTTGTAGATATTTCCTTTTCCACCATAGACCTGAAAGGACTCAAAATGTCCACTTGCAGATTCTACAAAAAGAGACTTACAAAACTGCTTGATCAAAAGAATGTTTTACTCTGTGAGATGAAAGCACACATCCCAAAGAAGTTTCTCAGAATAGTTCTGTCTAGTTTTTATGTGAAGATATTTCCTTTTCCACCATAGATCTAAAAGTGCTCCAAATGTCCACTTGCAGATTCTACAAAAAGAGTGTTTCAAAATTGCTCAATGAAAAGTAAGGTTCAACTTTGTGAGATGAATGCACACATCACAAAGAAGTTTCTCAGAATAATTCTGTATGGTTTTTAGGTGGAGATATTTTCTTTTCCTCCATAGGCCTCAAAGCGATCCAAATGTCCACATGCAGATCCTACAAAAAGAGTTTTTCAAAACTGCTCAATCAAAAGAAAGGTTCACGTCAGTGAGATGAATGCAAACGTCACAATGAAGTTTTTCAAAATACTTCTGTCTAGTTTTTCTGTGAAGATATTTGCTTTTCGACCATAGACCTCAAAGCGCTCCAAATGTCCAATTGCAGATTCTACAAAAAGAGTGTTTCAAAGCTGCTCAATCAAAAGAAAGGTCCAGCTCTGTGAGATGAATGTACACATCACAAAGTAGTTTGTCAGAATGCTTCTGTCTCGTTTTTATATGAGGGTATTTCCTTTTCCACCATAGGCCTCAAAGCACTCTAAATGTCCTCTTGCAGATACTACAAAAAGGGTGTTTCAAAACTGCTCAATCAAAACTAAGGTTCAACTCTGGGAGATGAATGCACATATCACCATGAAGGTTGTCAGAATGCTTCTGTTTTTTATATGAAGATATATGAAGATATTTCCTTTTCCACCATGTGCGTCAAAGCCCTCAAAATGTCCACTTACAGATTCTCCAAAAAGAGTGTTTCAAAATTGCTCAATGAAAAGTAAGGTTCAACTCTGTGAGATGAATGCCCACATCACAAAGAAGTTTGTCAGAATGCTTTTGTCTAGTTTTTATGGGAAGATATTTCCTTTTTCACCATAGTCTCCAAAGCGCTACAAATGACTACTTGCAGATTCTACAAAAAGAGTGTTTCAAAGTTGCTCAATCAAAAGGAAGGTTCAACTCTGAAAGATGAATGCATGCATAACAAAGAAGTTTGTCAGAAGATTTCTGTCTAGTTTTTATGTGACGATACATCCTTTTCCACCATAGGCCAGAAAGCGGTCCAATTGTCCACTTGCAGATTCTACAAAAAGAGTGTTTCAAACCTGCTCAATGAAAAGTAAGGTTCAAATCTTTGAGTTGAACGCACACATTGAAAAGAAGTTTGTCAGAATGCTTCTGTCTGTTCTATATGTGAAGATGTTCCCTTTTCCACCATAGGCCTCAAAGCGCTCCAAATGTACACTTGCAGATTCTACAAAAAGAGTGTTTCAAAGCTCCTGAATCAAAGAAAGTTTCAATTCTTTGTGAGATGAATGCACACATCACAAAGAAGTTTGTCAGAATGCTTCTGTCCAATTTTTATGTGAAGATATTTCGTTTTCCACCATAGACCTCAAAGCACTCCAATTGTCCACTTGCAGATTTTACAGAAAGAGTGCTTCCAAAGTGCTCAATCAAAAGGGAGGTTCAACTCTGTGAGATGAATGCGCACATCACAAAGAAGTTTCTCAGAATGCTTCTGTCCAATTTTTATGTGAACATATTTCGTTATCCACCATAGGCCTCAAAGCACTCCAAATGTCCACTTGCAGATTCTACAAAAAGAATGTTGCAAAGCTTCTCAATCAAAAGAAAGTTTCAACTCCTTGTGAGATGTATGCAGACATCACAAAAAGTTTATCATAATGCTTCAGTCTAGTTTTTATGTAAAGATATTTCATTTTCCACCAGAGGCCACAAGGTGCTCAAATTGTCCACTTGCAGATTCTACAAAAAGAGTATTTCAAAACTGTCCATAAAAAGAATGGTTCAGCTCTGGGAGATGAATACAAACATCACAAAGAGGTTTCTCAGAATGCTTTTGACTAGTTTTTATGTGAAGATATTTCCTTTTCCACCATAGGCCTCAAAGCACTCCAAATGTAGACTGGTAGATTCTACAAAAAGAGTTTCAAAACTGCTCAATCAAGGGAAAGGTTAAACAATGTGTGGTGAATGCACACATCACAAAGAAGTCTCAGATTGCTTCTGTCTAGATTTTATGTGATGATATTTCCTTTTCTACCGTAGGCCACAAAGCCCTCCAAATGTCTACTTGCAGATTCTACAAAAAGAGTGTTTTGAAACTGCTCAATCAAAAGAAAGGTTTAACTGTGTGAGATTAACGCACACATCAGAAAGAAGTTTCTCAGAATTCTTCTGTCTAGTTTTCATGTGAAGGCATTTTCTTTTCCACCATAGGCCTCAAGGCGCTCAAAATGTCCACTTGCAGATTCTACAAAAAGACAGTTTCAAATCTGCTCATTCAAAAGGAAGGTTTAACTCTGTAAGATGAGTACACGCATCACAAAGAAGTCTCTCAGAATTCCTCTGTCTAGATTTTATGTGAAGATATTTCCTGTTCTACCATAGGCTTCAAAGCATTCCATACGTCCACTTGCAGACTCTACAAAAAGAGTGTTTCCAAACTGCTCAATCAAAAGAAAGGTTCAACTCTGTGAGATGAATGCACACATCACATAGAAGTTTCTCAGAATACATCTGTTTAGTTTTTATGTGAAGATATTTCCTTTTCCACCATAGGCTGCAAAACGCTCCAGATATCCGCTAGCAGATTCTACAAAAAGAGGGTTTCCAAACTGCTCAATCATAAAGAAAGGTTCAAGTCTGTTAGATGAATGCAAGCATCACAAAGGAGTTTCTCAGAATTCTTCTGTCGAGTTTCAATTTGTAGATATTTCTTTTTCCACCATAGGCCTGAAAGGACTCAAAATGTCCACTTGCAGATTCTACAAAAAGAGACTTACAAAACTGCTCGATCAAAAGAATGTTTTACTCTGTGAGATGAAAGCACACATCCCAAAGAAGTTTCTCAGAATAGTTCTCTCTATTTATTATATGAAGATATTTCGTTATCCATCATAGGACTCAAAGCGCTCCAAATGTCCACTTTCAGATTCTACAAAAAGAGTTTTTCAAAACTAGACAATCAAAAGTAAGGTTCAACTCTGTGAGATGATTGCACACATCACAAAGAAATTTCTCAGAATGTTTCTGTCTAGTTTTTCTGTGAAGATATTTGCTTTTCGACCATAGACCTCAAAGCGCTCCAAATGTACAATTGCAGATTCTACAAAAAGAGTGTTTCAAAGCTGCTCAATCAAAAGAAAGGTCCAGCTCTGTGAGATGAATGTACACATCACAAAGTAGTTTGTCAGAATGCTTCTATCTACTTTCTATGTGAAGGTATTTCCTTTTCTACCATTGGCTTGAAGTGCCGCAAATGTCCAACGGCAGATTCTACAAAAAGAGTGTTTCAAAGCTGCTAAATCAAAAGAAATGTTCAACTCTGTGAGATGAAAGCACACATCACAAAGACGTTTGTCAGAATGCTTCTGTCTAGTTTTTATGTGAAGATATTTCCTTTTACACCACAGGCCTCAAAGTTCTCCAAATGTCCACTTGCAGATTCTACAAAAAGAGTGTTTCAAAACTGCTCAATGAAAAGTAAGGTTCAACTCTGTGAGATGAATGCACACATCACAAAGAAGTTTCTCAGAATCCTTCTGTCTAGTTTTTATATGAAGATATTTCCTTTTCCACCACGTGCGTCAAAGCCCTCAAAAAGTCCACTTACAGATTCTCCAAAAAGAGTGTTTCAAAATAGCTCAATGAAAAGTAAGGTTCAACTCTGTGAGATGAATGCCCACATCACAAAGAAGTTTGTCAGAATGCCTCTGTCTAGTTTTTATGGGAAGATATTTCCTTTTTCGCCATAGTCTCCAAAGCGCTACAAATGACTACTTGCAGATTCTACAAAAAGAGTGTTTCAAAGTTGCTCAATCAAAAGGAAGGTTCAACTCTGAAAGATGAATGCATGCATAACAAAGAAGTTTGTCAGAAGATTTCTGTCTAGTTTTTATGTGACGATACATCCTTTTCCACCATAGGCCAGAAAGCGGTCCAATTGTCCACTTGCAGATTCTACAAAAAGAGTGTTTCAAATCTGCTCAATGAAAAGTAAGGTTCAAATCTTTGAGTTGAACGCACACATTGAAAAGAAGTTTGTCAGAAGGCTTCTGTCTGTTCTATATGTGAAGATGTTCCCTTTTCCACCATAGGCCTCAAAGCGCTCCAAATGTACACTTGCAGATTCTACAAAAAGAGTGTTTCAAAGCTCCTGAATCAAAGAAAGTTTCAATTCTTTGTGAGATGAATGCACACATCACAAAGAAGTTTGTCAGAATGCTTCTGTCTAGAGTTTATGCGAAGATATTTGCTTCTCTACCATTGGCCGCAAATCTCTCCACGTGTGCACTTGCAGATTCTACAAAAAGAGTGTTTCCAAACTGCTCAATCTAAAGATAGGTTCAAATCTGTGAAATGAATGCACACATCACAAAGAAGTTTATAAGACTGCTTCTGTCTACATTTTTTGTGGAGACATTTCCTTTTCTACTGCATACCACAATGCGCTCCAAATGTCCACTTGCAGATTCTACAAAAAGAGTGTTTCCAAACTGCTCAAT
Source organism: Homo sapiens (assembly GCF_000001405.40). Classification (NCBI taxonomy): domain Eukaryota; kingdom Metazoa; phylum Chordata; class Mammalia; order Primates; family Hominidae; genus Homo; species Homo sapiens. The sequence goes on along the minus strand of NC_000013.11, from coordinate 16,260,254 downwards.
AAAATGAAAAGTTTAACTCTGTGAGATGAACGCACACATCAGAAAGAAGTTTCCCAGAATTATTCTGTCTAGTTTTTAAGTTAAGATATTTCCTTTTCGACCAGGGGCATCAAAGTACTCCAAATGTCCACTTGCATATTCTACAAAAAGAGGGTTTCCAAACTGCTCAATCAAAACAATGGTTCAGCTCTGTGTGGTGAACGCACACATCACCAAGCAGTTTCTCAGAATTCTTTTGACTAGTTTTTATGTGAAGATATTTCCTTTTCTACCATAGGCCTCAAAGCACTCCAAATGTAGACTTGTAGATTCTACAAAAAGAGTTTCAAAACTGCTCAATCAAGGGAAAGGTTACACAATGTGTGGTGAATGCACACATCACAAAGAAGTCTCAGATTGCTTCTGTCTAGATTTTATGTGACGATATTTCCTTTTCTACCGTAGGCCACAAAGTGCTCCAAAAGTCCACTTGCAGATTCTACAAAAAGAGTGTTTGAAACTGCTCAATCAAAAGAAAGGTTCAACTGTGTGAGATTAACGCACACATAAGAAAGAAGTTTCTCAGAATTCTTCTGTCTAGTTTTCATGTGAAGGCATTTTCTTTTCCACCATAGGCCTCAAGGCGCTCAAAATGTCCACTTGCAGATTCTACAAAAAGACAGTTTCAAATCTGCTCATTCAAAAGGAAGGTTTAACTCTGTAAGATGAGTACACGCATCACAAAGAAGTCTCTCAGAATTCC
>NC_000013.11:16256167-16259412 GCF_000001405.40 Homo sapiens | reverse complement strand
TCTGTGTAGGTTTATGTGAAGATATTTCCTTTTACACAATAGGCCAAAAAGCACTCCAAATATACACCTGAAGATTTTGCAAAGAGACTGTTTCAAAGCTGCTCAGTCATAAGATAGGTTCATCTCTGTGAGATGAATGCACACATCACAAAGAAGTTTCTCAGAATGCTTCTGTGTAGTTTTTATTTGAAGATATTTCCTTTGCCTCCATGGACTGCAAAGGGCTCCAAATATCCACTTGCAAATCCGAGAAAAAGAGAGATCCAAAAATGCTCAATTGAAAGATAGGTTCAAGACTGTGAGTTGAATGCACACATCACAAAGAAGTTTCTCAGAATGCTTCTGTGTTGTTTTTATGTGAAGATATTTTCTTTTCCACAATAGGCCTCAAAGGGCTCCAAATACCCACTTGCAGCTCCTACAAAAAGAGATATTCAAATCTGCTCAATCAAAAGATAAGTTCACCTCTGTGAGTTTAACACACACATCACAAAGTAGTTTCTCAGAATGCTTATTTGTAGTTTTTATGTGAAGATATTACCTTTTCCACAATAGGCCTCAAAGCACTCCAAATATCCACTTGCAGATTCTACAAACAGAGTGTTTCAAAACTTCTCAATCAAAAGATAGGTTCAACTCTCTGAGTTGAATGCATACATCATAAAGAAGTATCTCAGAATGCTTTTGTGTAGTTTTTACGTGAAGATATTTTCTTTTCCACAACAGTCCTGAAAGCCCTCCAAGTATCCACTTGCAGATTCTACAAAGAGAGTGTTTCAAATGTACTCAATCATAAGATATGTCCAAATCTATGAGATGAATGCACACATCACAAAGAAGTTTCTCAGAATGCTTCTGTGTAGTATTTATTTGAAGATATTTCCTTATCCTCCATTGGCTGCAAAGGGCTTCAAATATCCACTTGCAGATTCTGCAAAAAGAGAAATTCAAAACTGTTCAATCAAAAGATACGTTCAACTCTATGAGATGAATGCACACATCACAAAGAAGTTTCTCAGAATGCTTCTGTGTAGTTTTTATGGGAAGATATTTCCTTTTCCACAATAGGTCTAAAAGCACTCCAAATATCCACTTGCAGATTCTACAAAAAGAGTGTTTCAAAAGTTCTCAATCAAAAGAAACTTTCAACTCTGTGGGATGAATGCACACATCACAGAGTTGTTTCTCAGAATGCTTCTGTGTGGTTTTTACGTGAAGATATTTGCTTTTCCACAATAGGCCCCAAAGCGCTCCAAATATCCACTTGCACATTCTGTAAAAACTGTGTTTCAAAACTGCTCAATCAAAAGAAACGTACAACTCTGTTAGATGAATACACACAACAAAAAGTAGTTTCTCAGAATAAATATTTGTAGTTTTTATTTGAAGATATTTCCTTTGCCTCCATGGACTGCAAAGGGCTCCAAATATCCACTTGCAAATCCGAGAAAAAGAGAGATCCAAAACTGCTCAATTGAAACTGCTCATCTCTGTGGGATGAATGCACACATCACAAAGAAGTTTCTTAGAATGCTTCTGTGTAGTTTTTATTTGAAGATATTTCCTTTGCCTCCATGGACCGCAAAGGGCTCCAAACATCCACTTGCAGGTTCCTGAAAAAGAGAGATCCGAAACTGCTCAATCAAAAGATAGGTTCAAGGCTGTGAGTTGAATGGACACATCACAAAGAAGTTTCTCAGAAGGCTTCTGTGTAGTTTTTATGTGAAGATGTTTCCTTTTCCAAAATAGGCCTCAAAGCCCACCAAATATCCACTTGCAGATTCTACAAAAAGAGAGATTCAAAACTGCTCAATCAAAAGATAGGTTAAACTCTGTGACTTGAATTCACACATCACAAAGAAGTTTCTCAGAATGCTTATTTGTAGTTTTTATGTGAAGATATTACCTTTTCCACAATAGGCCTCAAAGCACTCCAAATATCCACTTGCAGATTCTACAAACAGAGTGTTTCAAAACTTCTCAATCAAAAGATAGGTTCAACTCTCTGAGTTGAGTGCATACATCATAAAGAAGTATCTCAGAATGCTTTTGTGAAGTTTTTACGTGAAGATATTTCCTTTTCCACAACAGTCCTGAAAGCCCTCCAAGTATCCACTTGCAGATTCTACAAAGAGAGTGTTTCAAATGTACTCAATCATAAGATATGTTCAAATCTATGAGATGAATGCACACATCACAAAGAAGTTTCTCAGAATGCTTCTGTGTAGTATTTATTTGAAGATATTTCCTTATCCTCCATTGGCTGCAAAGGGTTTCAAATATCCACTTGCAGATTCTGCAAACAGAGAAATTCAAAACTGCTCAATCAAAAGATAGGTTCAACTCTATGAGTTGAATGCACACATTGCAAAGAAGTTTCTCAGAATGCTTCTGTGTAGTTTTTATGGGAAGATATTTCCTTTTCCACAGTAGGTCTAAAAGCGCTCCAAATATCCACTTGCAGATTCTACAAAAAGAGTGTTTCAAAAGTTCTCAATCAAAAGAAACTTTCATCTCTGTGGGATGAATGCACACATCACAAAGAAGTTTCTTAGAATGCTTCTGTGTGGTTTTTACGTGAAGATATTTGCTTTTCCACAGTAGGCCCCAAAGCGCTCCAAATATCCACTTGCACATTCTGTAAAAACTGTGTTTCAAAACTGCTCAATCAAAAGAAACGTACAACTCTGTTAGATGAATACACACAACAAAAAGTAGTTTCTCAGAATAAATCTGTGTAGGTTTTATGTGAAGATATTTCCTTTTACAAAATAGGCCAAAAAGCACTCCAAATATACACCTGAAGATTCTGCAAAGAGAGTGTTTCAAAGCTGCTCAGTCATAAGATAGGTTCTTCTCTGTGAGATGAATGCACACATCACAAAGAAGTTTCTCAGAACGCTTCTGTGTAGTTTTTATTTGAAGATATTTCCTTTGCCTCCATGGACCGCAAAGGGCTCCAAACATCCACTTGCAGGTTCCTGAAAAAGAGAGATCCGAAACTGCTCAATCAAAAGATAGGTTCAAGGCAGTGAGTTGAATGGACACATCACAAAGAAGTTTCTCAGAAGGCTTCTGTGTGGTTTTTATGTGAAAATATTTCCTTTTCCACAGTAGGCCTCAAAGCGCTCCAAATATCCACTTGCAGCATCTACAAAGCCAGTGTTTCAAATCTGCTCAATCATAAGATAGGTTCAACTCTGTGAGATGAATGCACACATCACGAAGAAGTTTCTCAGAATGCC
>NC_000013.11:16249397-16256067 GCF_000001405.40 Homo sapiens | reverse complement strand
TCTGTGTAGTTTTTATGTGAAGATATTTCCTTTTCCACAATATTCCTCAAAGGGCTCCAAATATCCAGTTGCAGATTCTACAAAAAGAGTGTTTCAAAACTGCTCAATCAAAGGAAAGTTTCAACTCTGTGAGACGAATGCACACATCACTAAGAAGTTTCTCAGAATGCTTCTGTTTAGTTTTTGTTTGTAGGTATATGCTTTTCCACGGTAGGCCTCAATTCCCTCTAAATATCCACTTGCAGATTCTACAAAAACAGTGTTTCAAAACTGCTCAATAAAACGGTAGGTTCAAACCTGTGAGATAAATGCACATATCACAAAGAAGTTTCTCAGAATTCTTCTGTGTAATTTTTATCTGAAGATATTTCCTTTTCCACCATAGGACACAATGGGCTCCAAATATCCACTTGTACATTCTACAAAAAGAGAGACGCAAAACTGCTCAAAGAGGACATATGTTCAACTCTGTGAGTTGAATGCACACGACACAAAGAAGTTTCTCAGAATGGTTCTGTGTAGTTTTTATGTGAAAATATTTCCCTTTCCACAATATGCCTGAAAGCTCTCCAAACATCCCCTTGCAGATTCTGCAAAAAGAGAAATTCAAAACTGCTAAATCAAAAGATATGTTCAGCCCTGTGAGTTGAATGCACACATCACAAATAAGTTTCTGAGAATGTTTCTTTGTAGTTCTTATTTGAAGATATTTCCTTTTCTACCATAGCCCTCAAAGGGCTCCAATTATTCACTTGCAGATTCTACAAAAAGAGTGTTTCAAAACTGCTCAATCAAAAGAAAGTTTCAACACTGTGAGATGAATGCAAACATCAAAAAGAAGTATCTCAGAATGGTTCTATGTAGTTTTTACGTGAAGATATTTCCTTTTCCACAATAGGCCTCAAAGGGCTCCAAATATCAACTTACCGTTTCTACAAAAAGAGTGTTTCAAATCTGCTCAATCAAAAGAAAGTTTCAACTCTGTGAGTTGAATGCACACATCGCAAAAAAAGTTTCTCAGAAAGCTTTTGTGTAGCTTTTATCTGAAGTTATTTGCTTTTCCACAGTAGGCCTCAAAGCGTTCCAAATATCCACTTGCAGATTCTGCAAAAGAGAGATTAAAAACTGCTCAATAATAAGATAGTTTCAACTCTGTGAGTTGAATGCATACATCACAAAGAAATTTCTATGAATGCTTCTGTGTAGTTTTTATTTGAAGATATTTCCTTTTCCACCATGGGGCTCAAAGAGCTCCAAATATCTACCTGCAGATTTTATAAAAAGAGAGATTCAAAACTGCTCAATGAGAAAATAAGTTAAACTCTGTGGGTTGAGTGCACACCTCACAGAGAAGTTTCTCAGAATGCTTCTGTGTAGTTTTTATGTGAAGATATTTGCTTTTCCATAATAGGTTTCAAAGCTCTCCAAACATCCACTTGCAGATTCTGCAAAAAGAGAGCCTCTAAACTGCTCAATCAAAATATAGGTTCAACTCTGTGAGTTGAATGCACACATCAGAAAGAAGTTTATCAGAATGCTTCTGAGTAGTTTTTATGTGAAGATATTTCCTTTTCCACAATAGTCCTCAAAGGGCTCCAATTATCAGCTTGCAGATTGTACAAAAAGAGTGTTTCAAAACTGCTCAATCAAAAGAAAGTTTCAACTCCGTGAGATGAATGCACACACCGCAAAGAACTTTCTCAGAATGTTTATGTGTAGTTTTTATGTGAAGATATTTCCTTTTCCACAATAGGCCACAAAGCTTTGAAAACACACACTTGCAGATTCTTCAAAAAGAGAGATTCCAAACTGCTCAATCAAAAGATAGGTTCAACTCTGTGAGTTGAATGCACACATCCCAAAGAAGTTTCCCAGAATGCTTCTATGTAGTTTTCATGGGAAGATATTTCCTTTTCCACAACAGGCCTCAAAGGGCTCCAAATATCCACTTGCAGATTCTACAAAAAGAGTGTTTCAAAACTGCTCCATCAAGAGAAAGTTTTAACTCTGTGAGATGAATGCAAACATCACAAAGATGTTTCTCTGAATGCTTCTGTGTAGTATTTATGTGAAAATATTCCCTTTTACATAATAAGCCTCAACGTTCTCCAAACATCCGCTTGCAGATTCTGCAAAAAGAGAGATTCAAAACTGCTCGATCAAAAGATAGGTTCAACTCTGTGAGTTGAATGCACACATCACAAAGTAGTTTCTCAGAATGCTTCTGAGTAGTTTTTATGTGAACATATTTCATTTCCCACAGTAGGTCTCACAGTGCTCCAAATATCCACTTGCAAATTCTACAAAAAGAGAAATTCAAAACTGCTAAATCAAAAGATATGTTCAGCCCTGTGAGTTGAATGCACACATCACAAATAAGTTTCTGAGAATGTTTCTGTTTAGTTTTTATTTGAAAATATTTCTTTTTCCACCAAAGGCCGCAAATGGCTCCAAATATCTACTTGCAGTTTCTGCCAAAAGAGAGATTCAAATCTGCTCAATCAAAAGATAGGTTCAACTCTGTGAGTTGAATGCACACATCCCAAAGAAGTTTCTCAGAATGCTTCTGTGTAGTTTTTATATGAAGATATTTGCTTTTCCTCAGTATGCCTCAAAGGGCAGCAAATATCCACTTGCAGATTCTACAAATAGAGAGATTCAAAACTGCTCAATGAGAAGAAAAGTTTAACTCTGTGGGTTGAATGGACTCCTCATAAAGAAGTTTCTCAGAATGCTTCTGTGTAGTTTTTATGTGAAGATATTTCCTTTTCCACAATATTCCTCAAAGGGCTCCAAATATCCAGTTGCAGATTCTACAAAAAGAGTGTTTCAAAACTGCTCAATCAAAGGAAAGTTTCAACTCTGTGAGACGAATGCACACATCACTAAGAAGTTTCTCAGAATGCTTCTGTTTAGTTTTTGTTTGTAGGTATATGCTTTTCCACGGTAGGCCTCAATTCCCTCTAAATATCCACTTGCAGATTCTACAAAAACAGTGTTTCAAAACTGCTCAATAAAACGGTAGGTTCAAACCTGTGAGATAAATGCACATATCACAAAGAAGTTTCTCAGAATTCTTCTGTGTAATTTTTATCTGAAGATATTTCCTTTTCCACCATAGGACACAATGGGCTCCAAATATCCACTTGTACATTCTACAAAAAGAGAGACGCAAAACTGCTCAAAGAGGACATATGTTCAACTCTGTGAGTTGAATGCACACGACACAAAGAAGTTTCTCAGAATGGTTCTGTGTAGTTTTTATGTGAAAATATTTCCCTTTCCACAATATGCCTGAAAGCTCTCCAAACATCCCCTTGCAGATTCTGCCAAAAGAGAAATTCAAAACTGCTAAATCAAAAGATATGTTCAGCCCTGTGAGTTGAATGCACACATCACAAATAAGTTTCTGAGAATGTTTCTGTGTAGTTCTTATTTGAAGATATTTCCTTCTCCACCACAGGGCGCAAAGGGATCCAATTATTCCACTTGCAGATTCTACAAAAAGAGTGTTTCAAAACTGCTCAATGAAAAGAAAGTTTCAACATTGTTAGATGAATGCAAGCATCACAAAGAAGTATCTCAGAATGATTCTATGTAGTTTTTATGTGAAGATATTTCCTTTTCCACAATAGGCCTCAAAGGGCTCCAAATATCAACTTACAGTTTCTACAAAAAGAGTGTTTCAAATCTGCTCAATCAAAAGAAAGTTTCAACTCTGTGAGTTGAATGCACACATCGCAAAAAAGTTTCTCAGAAAGCTTTTGTGTAGCTTTTATCTGAAGTTATTTGCTTTTCCACAGTAGGCCTCAAAGCGCTCCAAATATCCACTTGCAGATTCTGCAAAAGAGAGATTAAAAACTGCTCAATAATAAGATAGTTTCAACTCTGTGAGTTGAATGCATACATCACAAAGAAATTTCTATGAATGCTTCTGTGTAGTTTTTATTTGAAGATATCTCCTTTTCCACCATGGGGCTCAAAGAGCTCCAAATATCTACCTGCAGATTTTATAAAAAGAGAGATTCAAAACTGCTCAATGAGAAAATAAGTTAAACTCTGTGGGTTGAGTGCACACCTCACAGAGAAGTTTCTCAGAATGCTTCTGTGTAGTTTTTATGTGAAGATATTTGCTTTTCCATAATAGGTTTCAAAGCTCTCCAAACATCCACTTGCAGATTCTGCAAAAAGAGAGCTTCTAAACTGCTCAATCAAAATATAGGTTCAACTCTGTGAGTTGAATGCACACATCAGAAAGAAGTTTATCAGAATGCTTCTGTGTAGTTTTTATTTGAAGATATTTCCTTTTCCACAATAGTCCTCAAAGGGCTCCAATTATCCACTAGCAGATTGTACAAAAAGAGTGTTTCAAAACTGCTCCATCAAAAGAAAGTTTCAACTCTATGACATGAATGCACGCACCACAAAGAACTTTCCCAGAATATTTATGTGTAGTTTTTATGTGAAGACATTTCCTTTTCCACAATAGGCCACAAAGCTTTGCAAACATACACTTGCAGATTCTGCAAAAAGAAAGATTCAAAAATCCTCAATCAAAAGATAGGTTCAACTCTTGTGAGTTGAATGCACACATTGCAAAGAAGTTTCTCAGAATACTTCTATGTAGTTTTCATGGGAAGATATTTCCTTTTCCACAACAGGCCTCAAAGGGCTCCAAATATCCACTTGCAGATTCTACAAAAAGAGTGTTTCAAAACTGCTCCATCAAGAGAAAGTTTTAACTCTGTGAGATGAATGCAAACATCACAAAGATGTTTCTCTGAATGCTTCTGTGTAGTTTTAATCTGAAGATAATTGCTTTTCCACGGTAGGCCTTAAGGCCCTCAAAATATCCAGTTGCAGATTCTGCAAAAAGAGAGATTCAAAACTGCTCATTCTTAAGATAGGTTCAAGTCTGTGAGTTGAATGCATACATCACAAAGAAGTTTATCAGAATGCTCCTGAATAGTTTTTATGTGAAGATATTTACTTTTCCACAATAGCCCTCAAAGGGCTCCAAATATCCAGTTGCAGATTCTACAAAAAGAGTGTTTCAAAACTGCTCAATCATAAGATAGTTTCAACCCTGTGAGATGAATGCACACATCACAAAGAAGTTTCTCAGTATGTTTCTGTTTAGTTTTTATTTGAAAATATTTCTTTTTCCACAAAAGGCCGCAAATGGCTCCAAATATCTACTTGCAGTTTCTGCCAAAAGAGAGATTCAAATCTGCTCAATCAAAAGATAGGTTCAACTCTGTGAGTTGAATGCACACATCCCAAAGAAGTTTCTCAGAATGCTTCTGTGTAGTTTTTATATGAAGATATTTGCTTTTCCTCAGTATGCCTCAAAGGGCAGCAAATATCCACTTGCAGATTCTACAAATAGAGAGATTCAAAACTGCTCAATGAGAAGAAAAGTTTAACTCTGTGGGTTGAATGGACTCCTCATAAAGAAGTTTCTCAGAATGCTTCTGTGTAGTTTTTATGTGAAGATATTTCCTTTTCCACAATATTCCTCAAAGGGCTCCAAATATCCAGTTGCAGATTCTACAAAAAGAGTGTTTCAAAACTGCTCAATCAAAGGAAAGTTTCAACTCTGTGAGACGAATGCACACATCACTAAGAAGTTTCTCAGAATGCTTCTGTTTAGTTTTTGTTTGTAGGTATATGCTTTTCCACGGTAGGCCTCAATTCCCTCTAAATATCCACTTGCAGATTCTACAAAAACAGTGTTTCAAAACTGCTCAATAAAACGGTAGGTTCAAACCTGTGAGATAAATGCACATATCACAAAGAAGTTTCTCAGAATTCTTCTGTGTAATTTTTATCTGAAGATATTTCCTTTTCCACCATAGGACACAATGGGCTCCAAATATCCACTTGTACATTCTACAAAAAGAGAGACGCAAAACTGCTCAAAGAGGACATATGTTCAACTCTGTGAGTCGAATGCACACGACACAAAGAAGTTTCTCAGAATGGTTCTGAGTAGTTTTTATGTGAACATATTTCATTTCCCACAGTAGGTCTCACAGCGCTCCAAATATCCACTTGCAAATTCTACAAAAAGAGAAATTCAAAAGTGCTAAATCAAAAGATATGTTCAGGTCTGTGAGTTGAATGCTCACATCACAAATAAGTTTCTGAGAATGTTTCTTTGTAGTTCTTATTTGAAGATATTTCCTTTTCTACCATAGCCCTCAAAGGGCTCCAATTATTCACTTGCAGATTCTACAAAAAGAGTGTTTCAAAACTGCTCAATCAAAAGAAACTTTCAACACTGTGAGATGAATGCAAACATCAAAAAGAAGTATCTCAGAATGGTTCTATGTAGTTTTTACGTGAAGATATTTCCTTTTCCACAATAGGCCTCAAAGGGCTCCAAATATCAACTTACAGTTTCTACAAAAAGAGTGTTTCAAATCTGCTCAATCAAAAGAAAGTTTCAACTCTGTGAGTTGAATGCACACATCGCAAAAAAGTTTCTCAGAAAGCTTCTGTGTAGCTTTTATCTGAAGATATTTGCTTTTCCACGGTAGGCCTCAAAGCGCTCCAAATATCCAGTTGCAGATTCTGCAAAAAGAGAGATTCAAAACTGCTCAATAATAAGATAGTTTCAACTCTGTGAGTTGAATGCATACATCACAAAGAAGTTTCTATGAATGCT
>NC_000013.11:16228627-16249297 GCF_000001405.40 Homo sapiens | reverse complement strand
TCTTTCTAGTTTTTATATGAAGATATTCCCGTGTCCAACAAAGGCCTCCAATCAGTCCAAATATCCACTGGCAGATTCTACGAAGAGTGTTTCAAAACTGCTCTATGAAAAGGGACGTTCAACTCTGTGAGTTCAATGCAAACATCACAGCGGAGATTCTGAAAATGCTTCTGTCCTGTTTTTATGTGAAGATATTTCCTTTTCCACCATAGGCCTCAAAGCTCTCCAAATCACCACTTGCAGATGCTACAAAAACAGTGTTTCAAAACTGCCCTATCAAAATAAAGGTTAACACAGTGAGTTGAATGCAATCATCACAAAGTCGTTGCTGAGAATGCTTCTGTCTCGTTTTCATGTGAAGATATTCTCGTTTACAATGAAGGCCTCAAAGCATTCCAAATATACACTTGCAGATTCTACGAAAAGAGTGCTTCAAAACAGCTCTATGAAAAGGTGTGTTCAACTCTGTGAGTTGAATGCAAACGTCACAAAGAAGTTTCTGAGAATCTTTGTGTCTGGTTTTTATGTGAAGATATTTCCTTTTCCACCGTAGGCCTCAAAGCTCTCCAAATGTCCACTGGCAGATTCTACAAAAACGGTTTTTCAAAACTGCTCTATCAATAGAAAGCTTCAACTCTGAGAGTTGAATTCACACATCACAAAGAAGTTTCTGAGAATGCTTCTGTTTCGTTTTTATGTGAAGATTTTCCCATTTCCAACGAAGGCCTCAAAGCCGTCCAAATATCCATTTGCAGATTCTACGAAAAGTGTGTTTCAAAACTTCTCTATGAAAAGGTATGTTTAATTCTGTGAGTTGAATGCAACCATCACAAAGAAGTTTCTGAGAATCCTTCTGTCTAGTTTTTATGTGAAGATATTTCCTTCTCCACCACAGGCCTCGAAGCTCTGAAAATTTCCACATGCAGATTCTAAAAAAACAGTGCTTCAAAACAGCTCTATCAAAAGAAAGGTTCAGCTCTGTGAGTTGAATGCACACATCACAAAGAAGGCTCTGAGAATGCTTCTCTCTAGTTTTTATGTGAAGATATTCCCGTTTACAAAGAAGGCCTCAAAGCACTCAATATATCCACTTGCAGATTCTAAAAAAACAGTGCTTCAAAACAGCTCTATCAAAAGAAAGGTTCAGCTCTGTAAGTTGAATGCACACATCACAAAGACGGCTCTGAGAATGCTTCTGTCTAGTTTTTATGTGAAGATATTCCCGTTTACAAAGAAGGCCTCAAAGCACTCCATATATCAACTTACAGATTCTACAAAAAGAGTGTTTCAAAACTGCTCTGTGAAAAGGTATGTTCAACTCTGTGGGTTGAATGCAAACAATACAAAGAAGTTTCTGAGAATGCTTCCATCTGGTTTTTATGTGAAGGTATTTCCTTTTCCACCACAGGCCTCAAAGCTTTCCAAATGTCCACTTGCAGATTCTACAAAAAGAGTGTTTAAAAACTGCTCTATCAAAAGGAAGATTCAACTCTTTGTGTTGAATGTGCAGATCACAAAGAAGTTTCTGAGAATGCTTCTGTCTAGTTTTTATGTGGAGATATTCCCGTTTCCAACGAAGGCCTCTAAGCAGTACAAATATCCACTTTGCAGATTTTGCGAAAAGAGTGTTTCCAAACTGCTCTATCAACAGAAAGGTTCAACTTCTGTGAGTTGAATGCACACATCACAAAGAAATTTCCCAGAATTCTTCTGTCTAGTTCTTATGTGAAGATATTCCCGTTTCCGACGAAGGCCTCAAAGCAGTCCAAATATCCACTTGCAGATTCTACGAAACGAGTGTTTCAAAACTGCTCTATGACAAGGTATGTTCAAATCTGTGATTTGAATGCACACATCACAAAGAACTTTCTGAGAATGCATCTGTCTAGTTTTTATGTAAAGATATTCCTGTTTCCAAAGAAAACCTAAAAGCAGTCCAAATATCCACTTGCAGATTCTACGAAAAGAGTGTTTCAAAACTCCTCTATGAAAAGGTATTTTCAACTTTGTGAGTTGAATGCAAACAGCACAAAGAAGTTTCTCAGAATGCTTCTGTCTGGTTTTTATGTGAAGATATTTTCTTTCTCACCATAGGCCTCAAAGCTCTCCAAATGTCCACTTGCAGATTCTTCAAAAAGAGTGTTTCAAGACTGGTCTATGAAAAGAAAGGTTCAAGTACTGTGAGTTGAATGCCCACATCACAAAGAAGTTTCTGAGAATGCTTTTGTCTAGTTTTTATTTGAAGATATTCACATTTCCAACGAAGGCCTGAAAGCGTTCCAATTATCCATTTGCATATTCTACCAAAAGAGTTTTCCAAAACTGCTCTATGAAAAGGTATGTCCATCTCTGTGAGTTGAATGCAAACCTAACAAAGTAGGTACTGAGAATGATTCTGTCTAGTTTTCATGGGAAGGTATTTCCATTTCCACCATATGCTTCAAAAGTCTCCAAATGTCCACTTGCAGATTCTATAAAAACAGTGTTTCAAAACTGCTCTATCAAAAGAAATGTTCAACTCTCTGAGTTGAATGCCCACATCACAAAGGTGTTTCCGAGAATGCTTCTGTCTAGTTTTTATGTGAAGATATTCCCGTTTCCAACGAGGTCCTTAAAGCAGTCCAAATATCCTCTTGCAGATTCTACAAAAAGAGTGTTTCAAAACTGCTCTACGAAAAGTTATTTTCAACTCTGTGAGTTGAATGCAAATATCACAAAGATGTTTTTGAGAATGCTTCTGTCCAGTTTTTATGTGAAGATATTTCCTTTTCCACTGTAGGCCTCAAAGCTCTCTTGGCTTTGCACTTGCAGATTCTACAAAAAGAATGTTTCAAACTGCTCCTTCAAAAGAGTGGTTCAGCTCTGTGAGTTGAATGGCCTCATCACAAAGAAGTTTCTGAGAATGCTTCTGTCTAATTTTTATGTTAAGATATTTCTGTTTCCACTGAAGGCCTCAAAGCAGTCCAAATATCCCCTTGCAGATACTACGGAAAGAGTTTTTCAAAACTGCGCTATGAAAAGGTATTTCATCTCTGTGACTTGAATGCAAACATCACAAGAAGTTTCTGAAAATGCTTCTGTCTTCTTTTTATGTGAAGGTATATCATTTTCCACCATAGGCCTCAAAGCTTCCCAAATGTCCACTTGCAGATTCTACAAAAAGTCTGTTTCAAAACTGCTCTATCAAAAGAAAAGTTCAACTCTCTGAGTTGAATGCACATATCACAAAGAAGTTTCTGAGAATTCTTCTTTCTATATTTTATGTGAAGGTATTCCCGTTTCCAACAAAGGCCTCAAATCAGTCCAAATATCCACTTGTGGATTCTACGAAAAGAGTGTTTCAAAACTGCTCTATGAAAAGGTATGTTCAACTCTGTGAGTTGAATGCAAACTTCACAGAGGAGATTCTGAGAATGCTTCTGTCCAGTTTTTATGTGGAGATATTTCCTTTTCCACCATAGGCCTCAAAGCTCTCCAAATGACCACTTGCAGATGCTACAAAAACAGTGTTTCAAAACTGTTCTATGAAAATAAAGGTTAACACTGTGAGTTGAATGCAAACATCGCAAAGAAGTTTCTGAAAATGCTTCTGTCTGGTTTATATGTGAAGGTATATCATTTTCCACCATAGGCCTCAAAGCTCTCCAAAAGAACACTTGCAGATGCTACCAAAACAGTGTTTACAAACTGCCCTATCAAAATAAAGGTTAACACAGTGAGTTGAATGCAATCATCACAAAGTAGTTGCTGAGAATGCTTCTTTCTAGTTTTTATATGAAGATATTCCCGTGTCCAACAAAGGCCTCAAATCAGTCCAAATATCCACTGGCAGATTCTACGAAGAGTGTTTCAAAACTGCTCTATGAAAGGGGACGTTCAACTCTGTGAGTTCAATGCAAACATCACAGCGGAGATTCTGAAAATGCTTCTGTCCTGTTTTTATGTGAAGATATTTCTTTTTCCACCATAGGCCTCAAAGCTCTCCAAATGACCACTTGCAGATGCTACAAAAACAGTGTTTCAAAACTGCCCTATCAAAATAAAGGTTAACACAGTGAGTTGAATGCAATCATCACAAAGTAGTTGCTGAGAATGCTTCTGTCTCGTTTTTATGTGAAGATATTCTCGTTTACAATGAAGGCCTCAAAGCAGTCCAAATATACACTTGCAGATTCTACGAAAAGAGTGTTTCAAAACTGCTCTATGAAAAGGTATGTTCAACTCTCTTCGTTGAATGCAAACATCACAAAGAAGTTTCTGAGAATTCTTGTGTCTGGTTTTTATGTGAAGATATTTCCTTTTCCACCGCAGGCTTCCAAGCTCTCCAAATGTCCACTGACAGATTCTACAAAAACGGTTTTTCAAAATTGCTCTATCAATAGAAACCTTCAACTCTGAGAGTTGAATTCAAACATCACAAAGAAGTTTCTGAGAATGCTTCCGTCTAGTTTTTATGTGAAGATATTCCTCTTTCCAACGAAGGCCTCAAAGCAGTCCAAATATCCATTTGCAGATCCTACGAAAAGAGTGTTTCAAAACTGCTCTATGAAAAGGTATGTTCAACTCTGTGAGTTGAATGCAAACGTCACAAACAAATTTCTGAGAATGCTTCTGTCTAGTTTTTATGTGAAGATATTTCCTTCTCCACCACAGGCCTCGAAGCTCTGAAAATTTCCACATGCAGATTCTAAAAAAACAGTGCTTCAAAACAGCTCTATCAAAAGAAAGGTTCAGCTCCGTGAGTTGAATGCACACATCACAAAGAAGGTTCTGAGAATGCTTCTCTCTAGTTTTTATGTGAAGATATTCCCGTTTACAAAGAAGGCCTCAAAGCACTCCATATATCCACTTGCAGATTCTAAAAAAACAGTGCTTCAAAACAGCTCTATCAAAAGAAAGGTTCAGCTCTGTGAGTTGAATGCACACATCACAAAGAAGGCTCTGAGAATGCTTCTCTCTAGTTTTTATGTGAAGATATTCCCGTTTAAAAAGAAGGCCTCAAAGCACTCCATATATCCACTTGCAGATTCTACAAAAAGAGTGTTTCAAAACTGCTCTGTGAAAAGGTATGTTCAACTCTGTGGGTTGAATGCAAACAATACAAAGAAGTTTCTGAGAATGCTTCCATCTGGTTTTTATGTGAAGGTATTTCCTTTTCCACCACAGGCCTGAAAGCTTTCCAAATGTCCACTTGCAGATTCTACAAAAAGAGTGTTTAAAAACTGCTCTGTGAAAAGGTATGTTCAACTCTGTGGGTTGAATGCAAACAATACAAGGAAGTTTCTGAGAATGCTTCTGTCTAGTTTTTATGTGGAGATATTCCCGTTTCCAACGAAGGCCTCTAAGCAGTACAAATATCCACTCTGCAGATTTTGCGAAAAGAGTGTTTCCAAACTGCTCTATCAACAGAAAGGTTCAACTCTGTGAGTTGAATGCACACATCACAAAGAAATTTCCCAGAATTCTTCTGTCTAGTTCTTATGTGAAGATATTCCCGTTTCCGATGAAGGCCTCAAAGCAGTCCAAATATCCACTTGCAGATTCTACGAAACGAGTGTTTCAAAACTGCTCTATGACAAGGTATGTTCAAATCTGTGAGTTGAATGCACACATCACAAAGAACTTTCTGAGAATGCATCTGTCTAGTGTTTATGTAAAGATATTCCTGTTTCCAAAGAAAACCTAAAAGCAGTCCAAATATCCACTTGCAGATTCTACGAAAAGAGTGTTTCAAAACTCCTCTATGAAAAGGTATTTTCAACTTTGTGAGTTGAATGCAAACAGCACAAAGAAGTTTCTCAGAATGCTTCTGTCTGGTTTTTATGTGGAGATATTTTCTTTCTCACCATAGGCCTCAAAGCTCTCCAAATGTCCATTTGCAGATTCTTCAAAAAGAGTGTTTCAAGACTGCTCTATGAAAAGAAAGGTTCAAGTCTGTGAGTTGAATGCCCACATCACAAAGAAGTTTCTGAGAATGCTTTTGTCTAGTTTTTATTTGAAGATATTCACATTTCCAACGAAGGCCTGAAAGCGTTCCAATTATGCATTTGCATATTCTACCAAAAGAGTTTTCCAAAACTGCTCTATGAAAAGGTATGTCCATCTCTGTGAGTTGAATGCAAACATAACAAAGTAGGTACTGAGAATGTTTCTGTCTAGTTTTCATGGGAAGGTATTTCCATTTCCACCATATGCTTCAAAAGTCTCCAAATGTCCACTTGCAGATTCTATAAAAACAGTGTTTCAAAACTGCTCTATCAAAAGAAAGGTTCAACTCTCTGTGTTGAATGCCCCCATCACAAAGGTGTTTCGGAGAATGCTTCTCTCTAGTTTTTATGTGAAGATATTCCCGTTTCCAACGAGGTCCTTAAAGCAGTCCAAATATCCTCTTGCAGATTCTACAAAAAGAGTGTTTCAAAACTGCTCTACGAAAAGTTATTTTCAACTCTGTGAGTTGAATGCAAATATCACAAAGATGTTTTTGAGAATGCTTCTGTTCAGTTTTTATGTGAAGATATTTCCTTTTCCACTGTAGGCCTCAAAGCTCTCTTGGCTTTGCACTTGCAGATTCTACAAAAAGAATGTTTCAAACTGCTCCTTCAAAAGAGTGGTTCAGCTCTGTGAGTTGAATGGCCTCATCACAAAGAAGTTTCTGAGAATGCTTCTGTCTAATTTTTATGTTAAGATATTTCTGTTTCCACTGAAGGCCTCAAAGCAGTCCAAATATCCCCTTGCAGATACTACGGAAAGAGTTTTTCAAAACTGCGCTATGAAAAGGTATTTCATCTCTGTGAGTTGAATGCAAACATCACAAAGAAGTTTCTGAAAATGCTTCTGTCTTCTTTTTATGTGAAGGTATATCATTTTCCACCATAGGCCTCAAAGCTTCCCAAATGTCCACTTGCAGATTCTACAAAAAGTCTGTTTCAAAACTGCTCTATCGAAAGAAAAGTTCAACTCTCTGAGTTGAATGCACATATCACAAAGAAGTTTCTGAGAATTCTTCTTTCTAGATTTTATGTGAAGGTATTCCCGTTTCCAACAAAGGCCTCAAATCAGTCCAAATATCCACTTGTGGATTCTACGAAAAGAGTGTTTCAAAACTGCTCTATGAAAAGGTATGTTCAACTGAGTGAGTTGAATGCAAACATCACAGAGGAGATTCTGAGAATGCTTCTGTCCAGTTTTTATGTGGAGATATTTCCTTTTCCACCATAGGCCTCAAAGCTCTCCAAATGACCACTTGCAGATGCTACAAAAACAGTGTTTCAAAACTGTTCTATGAAAATAAAGGTTAACACTGTGAGTTGAATGCAATCATCACAAATTAGTTGCTGAGAATGCTTCTGTCTGGTTTTTATGTGAAGGTATATCATTTTCCACCATAGGCCTCAAAGCTTCCCAAATGTCCACTTGCAGATTCTGCAAAAAGTCTGTTGCAAAACTGCTCTATCAAAAGAAAAGTTCAACTCTCTGAGTTGAATGCACACATCACAAAGAAGTTTCTGAGAATTCTTCTTTCTAGTTTTTATATGAAGATATTCCCGTGTCCAACAAAGGCCTCCAATCAGTCCAAATATCCACTGGCAGATTCTACGAAAAGTGTTTCAAAACTGCTCTATGAAAGGGGACGTTCAACTCTGTGAGTTCAATGCAAACATCACAGCGGAGATTCTGAAAATGTTTCTGTCTGGTTTATATGTGAAGGTATATCATTTTCCACCATAGGCCTCAAAGCTCTCCAAATGAACACTTGCAGATGCTACCAAAACAGTGTTTACAAACTGCCCTATCAAAATAAAGGTTAACACAGTGAGTTGAATGCAATCATCACAAAGTAGTTGCTGAGAATGCTTCTGTCTCGTTTTCATGTGAAGATATTGTCGTTTACAATGAAGGCCTCAAAGCATTCCAAATATACACTTGCAGATTCTACGAAAAGAGTGCTTCAAAACTGCTCTATGAAAAGGTGTGTTCAACTCTGTGAGTTGAATGCAAACGTCACAAAGAAGTTTCTGAGAATCTTTGTGTCTGGTTTTTATGTGAAGATATTTCCTTTTCCACCGTAGGCCTCCAAGCTCTCCAAATGTCCACTGGCAGATTCTACAAAAACGGTTTTTCAAAACTGCTCTATCAATAGAAAGCTTCAACTCTGTGAGTTGAATTCACACATCACAAACAAGTTTCTGAGAATGCTTCCGTCTAGTTTTTATGTGAAGATATTCCTCTTTCCAACGAAGGCCTCAAAGCAGTCCAAATATCCATTTGCAGATCCTACGAAAAGAGTGTTTCAAAACTGCTCTATGAAAAGGTATGTTCAACTCTGTGAGTTGAATGCAAACGTCACAAACAAGTTTCTGAGAATGCTTCTGTCTAGTTTCTATGTGAAGATATTTCCTTCTCCACCACAGGCCTCGAAGCTCTGAAAATTTCCACATGCAGATTCTAAAAAAACAGTGCTTCAAAACAGCTCTATCAAAAGAAAGGTTCAGCTCTGTGAGTTGAATGCACACATCACAAAGAAGGCTCTGAGAATGCTTCTCTCTAGTTTTTATGTGAAGATATTCCCGTTTACAAAGAAGGCCTCAAAGCACTCAATATATTCACTTGCAGATTCTAAAAAAACAGTGCTTCAAAACAGCTCTATCAAAAGAAAGGTTCAGCTCTGTGAGTTGAATGCACACATCACAAAGAAGGCTCTGAGAATGCTTCTCTCTAGTTTTTATGTGAAGATATTCCCGTTTACAAAGAAGGCCTCAAAGCACTCCATATATCCACTTGCAGATTCTACAAAAAGAGTGTTTCAAAACTGCTCTGTGAAAAGGTATGTTCAACTCTGTGGGTTGAATGCAAACAATACAAAGAAGTTTCTGAGAATGCTTCCATCTGGTTTTTATGTGAAGGTATTTCCTTTTCCACCACAGGCCTCAAAGCTTTCCAAATGTCCACTTGCAGATTCTACAAAAAGAGTGTTTAAAAACTGCTCTGTGAAAAGGTATGTTCAACTCTGTGGGTTGAATGCAAACAATACAAAGAAGTTTCTGAGAATGCTTCTGTCTAGTTTTTATGTGGAGATATTCCCGTTTCCAACGAAGGCCTCTAAGCAATACAAATATCCACTTTGCAGATTTTGCGAAAAGAGTGTTTCCAAACTGCTCTATCAACAGAAAGTTTCAACTCTGTGAGTTGCATGCACACATCACAAAGAAATTTCCCAGAATTCTTCTGTCTAGTTCTTATGTGAAGATATTCCCGTTTCCGACGAAGGCCTCAAAGCAGTCCAAATATCCACTTGCAGATTCTACGAAACGAGTGTTTCAAAACTGCTCTATGACAAGATATGTTCAAATCTGTGAGTTGAATGCACACATCACAAAGAACTTTCTGAGAATGCATCTGTCTAGTGTTTATGTAAAGATATTCCTGTTTCCAAAGAAAACCTAAAAGCAGTCCAAATATCCACTTGCAGATTCTATGAAAAGAGTGTTTCAAAACTCCTCTATGAAAAGGTATTTTCAACTTTGTGAGTTGAATGCAAACAGCACAAAGAAGTTTCTCAGAATGCTTCTGTCTGGCTTTTATGTGAAGATATTTTCTTTCTCACCATAGGCCTCAAAGCTCTCCAAATGTCCACTTGCCGATTCTTCAAAAAGAGTGTTTCAAGACTGCTCTATGAAAAGAAAGGTTCAAGTCTGTGAGTTGAATGCCCACATCACAAAGAAGTTTCTGAGAATGCTTTTGTCTAGTTTTTATTTGAAGATATTCACATTTCCAACGAAGGCCTGAAAGCGTTCCAATTATCCATTTGCATATTCCACCAAAAGAGTTTTCCAAAACTGCTCTATGAAAAGGTATGTCCATCTCTGTGAGTTGAATGCAAACATAACAAAGTAGGTACTGAGAATGTTTCTGTCTAGTTTTCATGGGAAGGTATTTCCATTTCCACCATATGCTTCAAAAGTCTCCAAATGTCCACTTGCAGATTCTATAAAAACAGTGTTTCAAAACAGCTCTATCAAAAGAAAGGTTCAACTCTCTGAGTTGAATGCCCACATCACAAAGGTGTTTCTGAGAATGCTTCTGTCTAGTTTTTATGTGAAGATATTCCCGTTTCCAACGAGGTCCTTAAAGCAGTCCAAATATCCTCTTGCAGATTCTACAAAAAGAGTGTTTCAAAACTGCTCTATGAAAAGTTATTTTCAACTCTGTGAGTTGAATGCAAATATCACAAAGATGTTTTTGAGAATGCTTCTGTCCAGTTTTTATGTGAAGATATTTCCTTCTCCACTGTAGGCCTCAAAGCTCTCTTGGCTTTGCACTTGCAGATTCTACAAAAAGAATGTTTCAAACTGCTCCTTCAAAAGACTGGTTCAGCTCTGTGAGTTGAATGGCCTCATCACAAAGAAGTTTCTGAGAATGCTTCTGTCTAATTTTTATGTTAAGATATTTCTGTTTCCACTGAAGGCCTCAAAGCAGTCCAAATATCCCCTTGCAGATACTACGAAAAGAGGTTTTCAAAACTGCGCTATGAAAAGGTATTTCATCTCTGTGACTTGAATGCAAACATCACAAAGAAGTTTCTGAAAATGCTTCTGTCTTCTTTTTATGTGAAGGTATATCATTTTCCACCATAGGCCTCAAAGCTTCCCAAATGTCCACTTGCAGATTCTGCAAAAAGTCTGTTTCAAAACTGCTCTATCAAAAGAAAAGTTCAACTCTCTGAGTTGAATGCACACATCACAAAGAAGTTTCTGAGAATTCTTCTTTCTAGATTTTATGTGAAGGTATTCCCGTTTCCAACAAAGGCCTCAAATCAGTCCAAATATCCACTTGTGGATTCTACGAAAAGAGTGTTTCAAAACTGCTCTATGAAAAGGTATGTTCAACTCTGTGAGTTGAATGCAAACATCACAGAGGAGATTCTGAGAATGCTTCTGTCCAGTTTTTATGTGGAGATATTTCCTTTTCCACCATAGGCCTCAAAGCTCTCCAAATGACCACTTGCAGATGCTACAAAAACAGTGTTTCAAAACTGTTCTATGAAAATAAAGGTTAACACTATGAGTTGAATGCAAACATCGCAAAGAAGTTTCTGAAAATGCATCTGTCTGGTTTTTATGTGAAGGTATATCATTTTCCACCATAGGCTTCAAAGCTTCCCAAATGTCCACTTGCAGATTCCGCAAAAAGTCTGTTTCAAAACTGCTCTATCAAAAGAAAAGTTCAACTGCTGCTGAGTTGAATGCACACATCACAAAGAAGTTTCTGAGAATTCTTCTTTCTAGTTTTTATATGAAGATATTCCCGTGTCCAACAAAGGCCTCCAATCAGTCCAAATATCCACTGGCAGATTCTACGAAGAGTGTTTCAAAACTGCCCTATGAAAAGGGACGTTCAACTCTGTGAGTTGAATGCAAACATCACAGCGGAGATTCTGAAAATGCTTCTGTCCTGTTTTTATGTGAAGATATTTCCTTTTCCACCATAGGCCTCAAAGCTCTCCAAATGACCACTTGCAGATGCTACAAAAACAGTGTTTCCAAACTGCCCTATCAAAATAAAGGTTAACACAGTGAGTTGAATGCAATCATCACAAAGTAGTTGCTGAGAATGCTTCTGTCTCGTTTTTATGTGAAGATATTCTCGTTTACAATGAAGGCCTCAAAGCATTCCAAATATACACTTGCAGATTCTACGAAAAGACTGCTTCAAAACTGCTCTATGAAAAGGTGTGTTCAACTCTGTGAGTTGAATGCAAACGTCACAAAGAAGTTTCTGAGAATCTTTGTGTCTGGTTTTTATGTGAAGATATTTCCTTTTCCACCGTAGGCCTCAAAGCTCTCCAAATATCCACTGGCAGATTCTACAAAAACGGTTTTTCAAAACTGCTCTATCAATAGAAAGCTTCAACTCTGTGAGTTGAATTCACACATCACAAAGAAGTTTCTGAGAATGCTTCCTTCTAGTTTTTATGTGAAGATATTCCTCTTTCCAACGAAGGCCTCAAAGCAGTCCAAATATCCATTTGCAGATCCTACGAAAAGAGTGTTTCAAAACTGCTCTATGAAAAGGTATGTTCAACTCTGTGAGTTGAATGCAAACGTCACAAACAAGTTTCTGAGAATGCTTCTGTCTAGTTTTTATGTGAAGATATTTCCTTCTCCACCACAGGCCTCGAAGCTCTGAAAATTTCCACATGCAGATTCTAAAAAAACAGTGCTTCAAAACAGCTCTATCAAAAGAAAGGTTCAGCTCCGTGAGCTGAATGCACACATCACAAAGAAGGCTCTGAGAATGCTTCTCTCTAGTTTTTATGTGAAGATATTCCCGTTTACAAAGAAGGCCTCAAAGCACTCAATATATCCACTTGCAGATTCTAAAAAAACAGTGCTTCAAAACAGCTCTATCAAAAGAAAGGTTCAGCTCTGTGAGTTGAATGCACACATCACAAAGAAGGCTCTGAGAATGCTTCTCTCTAGTTTTTATGTGAAGATATTCCCGTTTACAAAGAAGGCCTCAAAGCACTCCATATATCAACTTACAGATTCTACAAAAGGAGTGTTTCAAAACTGCTCTGTGAAAAGGTATGTTCAACTCTGTGGGTTGAATGCAAACAATACAAAGAAGTTTCTGAGAATGCTTCCATCTGGTTTTTATGTGAAGGTATTTCCTTTTCCACCACAGGCCTCAAAGCTTTCCAAATGTCCACTTGCAGATTCTACAAAAAGAGTGTTTAAAAACTGCTCTCTCAAAAGGAAGATTCAACTCTTTGTGTTGAATGTGCAGATCACAAAGAAGTTTCTGAGAATGCTTCTGTCTAGTTTTTATGTGGAGACATTCCCGTTTCCAACGAAGGCCTCTAAGCAGTACAAATATCCACTCTGCAGATTTTGCCAAAAGAGTGTTTCCAAACTGCTCTATCAACAGAAAGGTTCAACTCTGTGAGTTGGATGCACACATCACAAAGAAATTTCCCAGAATTCTTCTGTCTAGTTCTTATGTGAAGATATTCCCGTTTCCGACGAAGGCCTCAAAGCAGTCCAAATATCCACTTGCAGATTCTACGAAACGAGTGTTTCAAAACTGCTCTATGACAAGGTATGTTCAAATCTGTGAGTTGAATGCACACATCACAAAGAACTTTCTGAGAATGCATCTGTCTAGTTTTTATGTAAAGATATTCCTGTTTCCAAAGAAAACCTAAAAGCAGTCCAAATATCCACTTGCAGATTCTACGAAAAGAGTGTTTCAAAACTCCTCTATGAAAAGGTATTTTCAACTTTGTGAGTTGAATGCAAACAGCACAAAAAAGTTTCTCAGAATGCTTCTGTCTGGTTTTTATGTGAAGATATTTTCTTTCTCACCATAGGCCTCAAAGCTCTCCAAATGTCCACTTGCCGATTCTTCAAAAAGAGTGTTTCAAGACTGCTCTATGAAAAGAAAGGTTCAAGTCTGTGAGTTGAATGCCCACATCACAAAGAAGTTTCTGAGAATGCTTTTGTCTAGTTTTTATTTGAAGATATTCACATTTCCAACGAAGGCCTGAAAGCGTTCCAATTATCCATTTGCATATTCCACCGAAAGAGTTTTCCAAAACTGCTCTATGAAAAGGTATGTCCATCTCTGTGAGTTGAATGCAAACATAACAAAGTAGGTAATGAGAATGTTTCTATCTAGTTTTTATGTGAGGCTATTTCCTTTTCCACCGTAGGCCTCAAAGCTCTCCAAATGTCCACTTGCAGATTGTACAAAGTAAGTGCTTCAAAACTGCTCTATCAAAAGAAAGGTTCAAATCTCTGAGTTGAATGCCCACATCAAAAAAGGTGTTTCTGAGAATGCTTCTGTCTACTTTTTATGTGAAGATATTCCCGTTTCCAACGAGGTCCTTAAAGCAGTCCAAATATCCTCTTGCAGATTCTACAAAAAGAGTGTTTCAAAACTGCTCTACGAAAAGTTATTTTCAACTCTGTGAGTTGAATGCAAATATCACAAAGATGTTTTTGAGAATGCTTCTGTCCAGTTTTTATGTGAAGATATTTCCTTTTCCACTGTAGGCCTCAAAGCTCTCTTGGCTTTGCACTTGCAGATTCTACAAAAACAATGTTTCAAACTGCTCCTTCAAAAGAGTGGTTCAGCTCTTTGAGTTGAATGGCCTCATCACAAAGAAGTTTGTGAGAATGCTTCTGTCTAATTTTTATGTTAAGATATTTCTGTTTCCACTGAAGGCCTCAAAGCAGTCCAAATATCCCCTTGCAGATACTACGAAAAGAGTTTTTCAAAACTGCGCTATGAAAAGGTATTTCATCTCTGTGAGTTGAATGCAAACATCACAAAGAAGTTTCTGAAAATGCTTCTGTCTTCTTTTTATGTGAAGGTATATCATTTTCCACCATAGGCCTCAAAGCTTCCCAAATGTCCACTTGCAGATTCTACAAATGTCTGTTTCAAAACTGCTCTATCAAAACAAAAGTTCAACTCTCTGAGTTGAATGCACATATCACAAAGAAGTTTCTGAGAATTCTTCTTTCTAGATTTTATGTGAAGGTATTCCCGTTTCCAACAAAGGCCTCAAATCAGTCCAAATATCCACTTGTGGATTCTACGAAAGGAGTGTATCAAAACTGCTCTATGAAAAGGTATGTTCAACTCTGTGAGTTGAATGCAAACATCACAGAGGAGATTCTGAGAATGCTTCTGTCCAGTTTTTATGTGGAGATATTTCCTTTTCCACCATAGGCCTCAAAGCTCTCCAAATGACCACTTGCAGATGCTACAAAAAGAGTGTTTCAAAAATGTTCTATGAAAATAAAGGTTAACACTGTGAGTTGAATGCAAACATCGCAAAGAAGTTTCTGAAAATGCTTCTGTCTGGTTTCTATGTGAAGGTATATCATTTTCCACCATAGGCCTCAAAGCTTCCCAAATGTCCACTTGCAGATTCTGCAAAAAGTCTGTTTCAAAACTGCTCTATCAAAAGAAAAGTTCAACTCTCTGAGTTGAATGCACACATCACAAAGAAGTTTCTGAGAATTCTTCTTTCTAGTTTTTATATGAAGATACTCCCGTGTCCAACAAAGGCCTCAAATCAGTCCAAATATCCACTGGCAGATTCTACGAAGAGTGTTTCAAAACTGCTCTATGAAAAGGGACGTTCAACTGTGTGAGTTCCATGCAAACATCAGAGCGGAGATTCTGAAAATGCTTCTGTCCTGTTTTTATGTGAAGATATTTCCTTTTCCACCATAGGCCTCAAAGCTCTCCAAATGACCACTTGCAGATGCTACAAAAACAGTGTTTCAAAACTGCCCTATCAAAATAAAGGTTAACACAGTGAGTTGAATGCAATCATCACAAAGTAGTTGCTGAGAATGCTTCTGTCTCGTTTTTATGTGAAGATATTCTCGTTTACAATGAAGGCCTCAAAGCATTCCAAATATACACTTGCAGATTCTACGAAAAGACTGCTTCAAAACTGCTCTATGAAAAGGTGTGTTCAACTCTGTGAGTTGAGTGCAAGCGTCACAAAGAAGTTTCTGAGAATCTTTGTGTCTGGTTTTTATGTGAAGATATTTCCTTTTCCACCGTAGGCCTCCAAGCTCTCCAAATGTCCACTGGCAGATTCTACAAAAAACGGTTTTTCAAAACTGCTCTATCAATAGAAAGCTTCAACTCTGTGAGTTGAATTCACACATCACAAAGAAGTTTCTGAGAATGCTTCCGTCTAGTTTTTATGTGAAGATATTCCTCTTTCCAACGAAGGCCTCAAAGCAGTCCAAATATCCATTTGCAGATCCTACGAAAAGAGTGTTTCAAAATTGCTCTATGAAAAGGTATGTTCAACTCTGTGAGTTGAATGCAAACGTCACAAACAAGTTTCTGAGAATGCTTCTGTCTAGTTTTTATGTGAAGATATTTCCTTCTCCACCACAGGCCTCGAAGCTCTGAAAATTTCCACATGCAGATTCTATAAAAACAGTGCTTCAAAACAGCTCTATCAAAAGAAAGGTTCAGCTCTGTGAGTTGAATGCACACATCACAAAGAAGGCTCTGAGAATGCTTCTCTCTAGTTTTTATGTGAAGATATTCCCGTTTACAAAGAAGGCCTCAAAGCACTCCATATATCCACCTGCAGATTCTAAAAAAACAGTGCTTCAAAACAGCTCTATCAAAAGAAAGGTTCAGCTCTGTGAGTTGAATGCACACATCACAAAGAAGGCTCTGAGAATGCTTCTCTCTAGTTTTTATGTGAAGATATTCCCGTTTACAAAGAAGGCCTCAAACCACTCCGTATATCCACTTGCAGATTCTACAAAAAGAGTGTTTCAAAACTGCTCTGTGAAAAGGTATGTTCAACTCTGTGGGTTGAATGCAAACAATACAAAGAAGTTTCTGAGAATGCTTCCATCTGGTTTTTATGTGAAGGTATTTCCTTTTCCACCACAGGCCTCAAAGCTTTCCAAATGTCCACTTGCAGATTCTACAAAAAGAGTGTTTAAAAACTGCTCTATCAAAAGGAAGACTCAACTCTTTGTGTTGAATGTGCAGATCACAAAGAAGTTTCTGAGAATGCTTCTGTCTAGTTTTTATGTGGAGATATTCCCGTTTCCAACGAAGGCCTCTAAGCAGTACAAATATCCACTTTGCAGATTTTGCGAAAAGAGTGTTTCCAAACTGCTCTATCAACAGAAAGGTTCAACTCTGTGAGTTGAATGCACACATCACAAAGAAATTTCCCAGAATTCTTCTGTCTAGTTCTTATGTGAAGATATTCCCGTTTCCGACGAAGGCCTCAAAGCAGTCCAAATATCCACTTGCAGATTCTACGAAACGAGTGTTTCAAAACTGCTCTATGACAAGGTATGTTCATATCTGTGAGTTGAATGCACACATCACCAACAACTTTCTGAGAATGCATCTGTCTAGTTTTTATGTAAAGATATTCCTGTTTCCAAAGAAAACCTAAAAGCAGTCCAAATATCCACTTGCAGATTGTACGAAAAGAGTGTTTCAAAACTCCTCTATGAAAAGGTATTTTCAACTTTGTGAGTTGAATGCAAACAGCACAAAGAAGTTTCTCAGAATGCTTCTGTCTGGTTTTTATGTGAAGATATTTTCTTTCTCACCATAGGCCTCAAAGCTCTCCAAATGTCCACTTGCTGATTCTTCAAAAAGAGTGTTTCAAGACTGCTCTATGAAAGGAAAGGTTCAAGCCTGTGAGTTGAATGCCCACATCACAAAGAAGTTTCTGAGAATGCTTTTGTCTAGTTTTTATTTGAAGATATTCACATTTCCAACGAAGGCCTGAAAGCGTTCCAATTATCCATTTGCATATTCTACCAAAAGAGTTTTCCAAAACTGCTCTATGAAAAGGTATGTCCATCTCTGTGAGTTGAATGCAAACATAACAAAGTAGGTACTGAGAATGTTTCTGTCTAGTTTTCATGGGAAGGTATTTCCATTTCCACCATATGCTTCAAAAGTCTCCAAATGTCCACTTGCAGATTCTATAAAAACAGTGTTTCAAAACTGCTCTATCAAAAGAAAGGTTCAACTCTCTGAGTTGAATGCCCACATCACAAAGGTGTTTCTGAGAATGCTTCTGTCTAGTTTTTATGTGAAGATATTCCCGTTTCCAACGAGGTCCTTAAAGCAGTCCAAATATCCTCTTGCAGATTCTACAAAAAGAGTGTTTCAAAACTGCTCTACGAAAAGTTATTTTCAAATCTGTGAGTTGAATGCAAATATCACAAAGATGTTTTTGAGAATGCTTCTGTCCAGTTTTTATGTGAAGATATTTCTTTTTCCACTGTAGGCCTCAAAGCTCTCCAAATGTCCACTTGCAGATTCTACAAAAAGAATGTTTCAAACTGCTCCTTCAAAAGAGTGGTTCAGCTCTGTGAGTTGAATGGCCTCATCACAAAGAAGTTTCTGAGAATGCTTCTGTCTAATTTTTATGTTAAGATATTTCTGTTTCCACTGAAGGCCTCAAAGCAGTCCAAATATCCCCTTGCAGATACTACGAAAAGATTTTTTCAAAACTGCGCTATGAAAAGGTATTTCATCTCTGTGAGTTGAATGCAAACATCACAAAGAAGTTTCTGAAAATGCTTCTGTCTTCTTTTTATGTGAAGGTATATCATTTTCCACCATAGGCCTCAAAGCTTCCCAAATGTCCACTTGCAGATTCTACAAAAAGTCTGTTTCAAAACTGCTCTATGAAAAGAAAAGTTCAACTCTCTGAGTTGAATGCACATATCACAAAGAAGTTTCTGAGAATTCTTCTTTCTAGATTTTATGTGAAGGTATTCCCGTTTCCAACAAAGGCCTCAAATCAGTCCAAATAACCACTTGTGGATTCTACGAAAAGAGTGTTTCAAAACTGCTCTATGAAAAGGTATGTTCAACTCTGTGAGTTGAATGCAAACATCACAGAGGAGATTCTGAGAATGCTTCTGTCCAGTTTTTATGTGGAGATATTTCCTTTTCCACAATAGGCCTCAAAGCTCTCCAAATGACCACTTGCAGATGCTACAAAAACAGTGTTTCAAAACTGTTCTATGAAAATAAAGGTTAACACTGTGAGTTGAATGCAAACATCGCAAAGAAGTTTCTGAAAATGCATCTGTCTGGTTTTTATGTGAAGGTATATCATTTTCCACCATAGGCCTCAAAGCTTCCCAAATGTCCACTTGCAGATTCTGCAAAAAGTCTGTTTCAAAACTGCTCTATCAAAAGAAAAGTTCAACTCTCTGAGTTGAATGCACACATCACAAAGAAGTTTCTGAGAATTCTTCTTTCTAGTTTTTATATGAAGATATTCCCGTGTCCAACAAAGGCCTCAAATCAGTCCAAATATCCACTGGCAGATTCTACGAAGAGTGTTTCAAAACTGCTCTATGAAAAGGGACGTTCAACTCTGTGAGTTCAATGCAAACATCACAGCGGAGATTCTGAAAATGCTTCTGTCCTGTTTTTATGTGAAGATATTTCCTTTTCCACCATAGGCCTCAAAGCTCTCCAAATGACCACTTGCAGATGCTACAAAAACAGTGTTTCAAAACTGCCCTATCAAAATAAAGATTAACACAGTGAGTTGAATGCAATCATCACAAAGTAGTTGCTGAGAATTCTTCTGTCTCGTTTTTATGTGAAGATATTCTCGTTTACAATGAAGGCCTCAAAGCATTCCAAATATACACTTGCAGATTCTACGAAAAGAGTGCTTCAAAACTGCTCTATGAAAAGGTGTGTTCAACTCTGTGAGTTGAGTGCAAGCGTCACAAAGAAGTTTCTGAGAATCTTTGTGTCTGGTTTTTATGTGAAGATATTTCCTTTTCCACCGTAGGCCTCAAAGCTCTCCAAATATCCACTGGCAGATTCTACAAAAACGGTTTTTCAAAACTGCTCTATCAATAGGAAGCTTCAACTCTGTGAGTTGAATTCACACATCACAAAGAAGTTTCTGAGAATGCTTCCGTCTAGTTTTTATGTGAAGATATTCCTCTTTCCAACGAAGGCCTCAAAGCAGTCCAAATATCCACTTGCAGATCCTACGAAAAGAGTGTTTCAAAACTGCTCTATGAAAAGGTATGTTCAACTCTGTGAGTTGAATGCAAACGTCACAAACAAGTTTCTGAGAATGCTTCTGTCTAGTTTTTATGTGAAGATATTTCCTTCTCCACCACAGGCCTCGAAGCTCTGAAAATTTCCACATGCGGATTCTAAAAAAACAGTGCTTCCAAACAGCTCTATGAAAAGAAAGGTTCAGCTCTGTGAGTTGAATGCACACATCACAAAGAAGGCTCTGAGAATGCTTCTCTCTAGTTTTTATGTGAAGATATTCCCGTTTACAAAGAAGGCCTCAAAGCACTCAATATATCCACTTGCAGATTCTAAAAAAACAGTGCTTCAAACACCTCTATCAAAAGAAAGGTTCAGCTCTGTGAGTTGAATGCACACATCACAAAGAAGGCTCTGAGAATGCTTCTCTCTAGTTTTTATGTGAAGATATTCCCGTTTACAAAGAAGGCCTCAAAGCACTCCATATATCCACTTGCAGATTCTACAAAAAGAGTGTTTCAAAACTGCTCTGTGAAAAGGTGTGTTCAACTCAGTGGGTTGAATGCAAACAATACAAAGAAGTTTCTGAGAATGCTTCCGTCTGGTTTTTATGTGAAGGTATTTCCTTTTCCACCACAGGCCTCAAAGCTTTCCAAATGTCCACTTGCAGATTCTACAAAAAGAGTGTTTAAAAACTGCTCTATCAAAAGGAAGATTCTACTCTTTGTGTTGAATGTGCAGATCACAAAGAAGTTTCTGAGAATGCTTCTGTCTAGTTTTTATGTGGAGATATTCCCGTTTCCAACGAAGGCCTCTAAGCAGTACAAATATCCACTCTGCAGATTTTGCGAAAAGAGTGTTTCCAAACTGCTCTATCAACAGAAAGGTTCAACTCTGTGAGTTGAATGCACACATCACAAAGAAATTCCCCAGAATTCTTCTGTCTAGTTCTTATGTGAAGATATTCCCGTTTCCGACGAAGGCCTCAAAGAAGTCCAAATACCCAGTTGCAGATTCTACGAAACGAGTGTTTCAAAACTGCTCTATGACAAGGTATGTTCAAATCTGTGATTTGAATGCACACATCACAAAGAACTTTCTGAGAATGCA
>NC_000013.11:16164992-16228527 GCF_000001405.40 Homo sapiens | reverse complement strand
TCTGTCTACTTTACATGTGAGGCTATTTCTTGTTCACCATAGGCCTCAAGCAGCTAAGAAATTTCCCTCTGCAGCTTCTACAAAAGACTGGTTCCAAACTGCTCAACTGAAAGGAAGGTTGAATTCTGTGACATGAATTCACACATCACAAAGAGGTTTTTCAGAAATCTTCTGTCTACTTTTTACGTGAAGACATTTCATATTTCAACAAAGGCCATAAAGGGCTCACAAATATCCCTTTGCAGATTCTAAGAAAAGACATTTTCCAAACTCCTCAATCAAAAGAAAGGTTTCACTCTGTGCGATGAATGGACACATCACAAAGAAGTTTCTCAGAAAGCTACTGTGTCGTTTTTATGTGAAGACGTTTCCTTTTTCACTCTAGGCCTTAAAACTCTCTAAATATACATTCACAGATTCTACAAAAAGACTGATTCCAAACTGCTCAATCAGAAGAAAAGTTCAATTCCGTGTGACAAACTTGCACATCACAAAGCAATTTGTCAGAAAGCTTTTGTCTAGTTTTCATGTGAAGATATTTATTTTTCACCATTGGCCCCAAACGGCTCAGAAATGTCCCTTTGCAGTTTGTAGGAAAAGACTGTTTCCAAACTGCTCAATGAGAAGAAATGGTCAACTATTAGAGATGAATGGACATGTCACAAAGAGTTTTCTCAAAAAGCTTCTGTCTGCATTTTATGTGAAGGTATTTCCTTTGGCACCGTAGGCCTTAAACCACTCACAAACATAACTCCGCTTATACTACCAAGAGACTTTCTCCAAATTGCTAAATCAAAAGAAACGTTCAACTCTGGGAGATGAATACACACATCAAAAAGAAGTTTCTCAAAATGCTTCTGTCTAGTTTTTATGTGAAGATATTTCCTTCTTCACCGTAGGCCGCAAATTGCTCCAAATATCCATTTGCGGATTCTACAGAAAGAATGTTTCCAAACTGGTCAATCAAAAGAAAGGCTCAACTCTGTGAGACGAAAGCACACATCACAAAGAAGTTTCTCAGAAAGCTTCTGTCTGGTTATTATGTGAAGATATTTCCTTTTTCACCATAGTCTTTAAACCACTCAAAAATATCCCTCTGCAGGTACTACAAAAAGACTGTTTCCAAACTGGTCCATATAGAATGTTTCAACTATGTGAGTTGAATGCACTCATCACAAAGAAGTTTCTCAGAATTCTCCTGTCTAGTTTTTATGACAAGATAATTCCTATTTTGCCATAGGAATCAAGGGGCTCACAAATATCCCTTTGCAGATTCTACAAAAGTTCTGTTTACAAACCTCTCAATCAAAAGAAACGTTCAACATTGTGAGATGAATGAACACATCACAAAGAAGTTTCTCAGAATGCTTCTGTCTAGATTTTATGTGAAGATATTTCCATTTTCACCTTAGGCCACAAAGCGCTCCAAACATCCCTTTGCAGATGATACGAAAAGACTGTTTCCAAACTGCTCAATCAAAAGAAATTTTCAACTCTGTGAGATGAAAGCACCCATCACAAAAAAGTTTCTCAGAAATCTTCTCTCTAGTTTTTATGTGTAGATATTTCCTTTTTCAGCGTAGTCCTTACACCGCTCACAAATATCCTTCTGCAGATACTAGAAAAAGACTGTTTCCAAACTGCTCCATCAAAAGAAAATTTCACCTACCTGAGATGAATGCACACATCACAAAGAAGTTTCTCAGAATTCTTCTGTCTAGTTTAAATGTGAAGATAATCCTTTTTCACCACAGACCTCAAATGGCTCAGAAATATACCTTTGCAGATTGCAGAAAGAGACTGTCTCTAAACTGCTCAAATAAAATAAAGTTTCAACACTGTGAGATGAATGCACACATCACAAAGAAGTTTCTCAGAAAGCTCCTGTCTAGTTTCTATGTGAAGATATTTACTATTTCACTATAGGCTTCAAAGGTCTCAAAAATATCCCTTTGCAGATTCTACAAAAATATGGTTTCCACAGTGCTGAATTAAAAGAAACCTTCAACTCTGTCAGATGAATGGAGACATCACAAAGAAGTTCCTCGGAATGCTTCGGTCTACTTTTCATGTGAAGATATTTCCAGTTTCACCGTAGGCCTCAAAGGGCTAAGAAATATCCCTTTCCAGATTCTAAAAGACGACCGTTTCCATACTTCTGAATCCAAAGAAAGGTTAAATTCTCTGAGGTTAATGCCCACGTCAGAATGAAGTTTCTCAGAATTCTTCTGTTTAGTTTTTATGTAAAGATATTTCCTTTGCCACCATTGGCCTCATATCAGTCTTAATAACTATTTACAGATTTCACAAAAAGAGTGTTTCCAAACAGCTCAATCAAAAGAAAGTGTTTAACTCTGTGAGGTGAAAGCACACATCTCAATGAAGTTTCTCAGAAAGCTTCTGTCTAGTTTATATGTGAAGAAGATTCCTATTTCACCATAGGCAATAAAGGGCTCGCAAATATGTTTTGCAGATTCTACAAAAAGACTGTATCCAAACTGCTCAATAAAAAGAAAGTTTTAACTCTGTTAGATTAACGGACACATCGAAAAGGAGTTTCTCAGAAAACTTCTGTCTAGTTTTTATGTGAAGATACTTCACAGTGCATCATAGTACTCAATGGGCTCAGAAGTATCCCTTGGCAGATTCTACAAAAGGACTGTTTCAAAACTGCTCAATCCAAAGAAAGTTTCAACTATGTGAGATGAATGCACACATCACAAAGAAGTTCCTCAGAATGTTTCTGTTTAGTTTTTACGCGAAGATGTTTCGTTTTTCCACATGGGCCTCAAAATCTCTCCAAATATCCATTTGCAGATTATAGAAAAAGAGTGTTTCCAAACTCCTCAATCAAAAGAAAGTTTCAATTCTGTGAGATGAAAGCACACATCACACCGAAGTTTCTTAGAAAGCTTCTGTCTAGTTTTTATGTGAAGATATTTCTCTTTCACCATAGGCCTCAAATGGATCAGAATTATCCCTTTGCGGATTGTACAATAAGCCTCTTTCCAACCTGCTCAATCAAAAGAAAGGTTCAACTCTGTGAGGTGAATGCACACATCACAAGGAAGTTTCTCAGAAAGCTCCTGTCTAGTTTTTGTGTGAAGATACTTCGTATTTCACCACAGGCCATAAGGGGCTCACAAATATCCCTTTGCAGGTTCTACAAAAAGACAGTTTCCAAACTGCTCAATCAAAAGAAAGGTTCAACTCTGTGACGTGAATGGACACATCACAAAAAATTTCTCGGAATGATTCTGTCTAGTTTTTATGTGAAGATACTTCCTTTTTCACCAAGGACCTCAAATATCTCCAAATATCCATTTGCAGATTCTACAGAAAGACTTCCCAAACTGCTCAATCAAAAGAAAGGTTCAACACAGTGAGATGAAGGCACACATCACAAAGAAGTTTCTCAGAAATCTTCTGTCTAGTTTTTATGTGAAGATATTTCTTTTTCACCATAGGCCTCAAAGGTCTAAGAAATTTCCCTTTGCAGCTTCTACAAAAGACTGTCTCCAACTGCTGAATCAAAAGAAAGGTTGAATTCTGTGACATGAATTCACACATCACAAAGAAGTTTCTCAGAAATCTTCTGTCTACTTTTTATGTGAAGATATTTCATATTTCAACAAAGGCCATAAAGGGCTCACAAATATCCCTTTGCAGATTCTAAGAAAAGACATTTTACAAACTCCTCAATCAAAAGAAAGGTTCCACTCTGTGCGATGAATGGACACATCACAAAGAAGTTTCTCAGAAAGCTACTGTGTCGTTTTTATGTGAAGACATTGCCTCTTGCACCCTAGGCCTTAAAACTCTCTAAATACACATTCACAGATTCTACAAAAAGACTGATTCCAAACTGCTCAATCAGAAGAAGGGTTCAATTCCGTGTGACAAACGTGCACATCACTAAGAAATTTGTCAGAAAGCTTCTGTCTAGTTTTCATGGGAAGATATTTATTTTTCACCGTTGGCCCCAAACCGCTCAGAAATATCCCTTTGCAGTTTGTAGAAAAAGACTGCTTCCAAACTGCTCAATGAAAGGAAATGGCCAACTATTAGAGATGAATGGAAATGTCACAAAGAGTTTTCTCAAACAGCTTCTGTCTGCATTTTATGTCAAGGTATTTCCTTTGGCACCATAGGCCTTAAACCGCTCGCAAATATAACTCCACTTATACTACCAAGAGACTTTCTCCAAATTGCTAAATGAAAAGAAAGGTTCAACTCTGTGAGATGAATACACACATCAAAAAGAAGTTTCTCAAAATGCTCCTGTCTAGTTTTTATGTGAAGATATTTCCTTTTTCACCATAGGCCACAAATTGCTCCAAATATCCATTTGCAGATTCTACAAAAAGAATGTTCCCAAACTGGTCAATCAACAGAAAGGCGCAACTCTGTGAGACGAAAGCACACATCACAAAGAAGTTTCTCGGAAAGCCTCTGTCTGGTTACTCTGTGAAGATATTTCTTTTTTCACCACAGTCTTTAAGCCACTCAAAAATATCTGTCTGCAGACACTACAAAAAGACTGTTTCCAAACTGGCCCATATAGCATTTTTCAACTATGTGAAATGAATGCACTCATCAAAGAGAAGTTTCTCAGAATTCTTCTGTCTAGTTTTTATCTCAAGATAATTCCTATTTTGCCATAGGAATCAAGGGGCTCACAAATATCCCTTTGCAGATTCTACAAAAGTTCTGTTTACAAACCTCTCAATCAAAAGAAACGTTCAACATTGTGAGATGAATGAACACATCACAAAGAAAGTTTCTCAGAATGCTTCTGTCTAGATTTTATGTGAAGATATTTCCATTTTCACCTTAGGCCACAAAGCGCTCCAAACATCCCTTTGCAGATGATACGAAAAGACTGTTTCCAAACTGCTCAATCAAAAGAAACTTTCAACTCTGTGAGATGAAAGCACCCATCACAAAAAAGTTTCTCAGAAATCTTCTGTCTAGTTTTTATGTGAAGATATTTGCTTTTTCAGCATAGTCCTTACACCGCTCACAAATATCCTTCTGCAGATACTAGAAAAAGACTGTTTCCAAACTGCTCCATCAAAAGAAAATTTCACCTACCTGAGATGAATGCACACGTCATAAAGAAGTTTCTCAGAATTCTTCTGTCTAGTTTAAATGTGAAGATATTTCTCTTTCACCACAGACCTCAAATGGCTCAGAAATATGCCTTTGCAGATTGCAGAAAAAGACTGTCTCTAAGCTGCTCAAATAAAATAAAGTTTCAACACTGTGAGATGAATGCACACATCACAAAGAAGTTTCTCAGAAAGCTCCTGTCTAGTTTCTATGTGAAGATATTTACTATTTCACTGTAGGCTTCAAAGGTCTCAAAAATATCCCTTTGCAGATTCTGCAAAAATACGGTTTCCACAGTGCTGAATTAAAAGAAACCTTCAACTCTGTCAGATGAATGGAGACATCACAAAGAAGTTCCTCGGAATGCTTCGGTCTACTTTTCATGTGAAGATATTTCCAGTTTCACCGTAGGCCTCAAAGGGCTAAGAAATATCCCTTTCCCGATTCTAAAAGACGACCGTTTCCATACTTCTCAATCCAAAGAAAGGTTAAATTCTCTGAGGTTAATGCCCACGTCAGAATGAAGTTTCTCAGAATTCTTCTGTTTAGTTTTTATGTGAAGATATTTCCTTTGTCACCATTGGCCTCAAAGCACTCCTAATATCCATTTACAGATTTCACAAAAAGAGTGTTTCCAAACAGCTCAATCAAAAGAAAGTGTTTAACTCTGTGAGGTGAAAGCACACATCTCCAAGAAGTTTCTCAGAAAGCTTCTGTCTAGTTTATATGTGAAGAAGATTCCTATTTCACCATAGGCAATAAAGGGCTCACAAATATTTTTTGCAGATTCTACAAAAAGACTGTGTCCAAACTGCTCAATAAAAAGAAAGTTTTAACTCTGTTAGATTAACGGACACATCGAAAAGTAGTTTCTCAGAAAACTTCTGTCTAGTTTTTATGTGAAGATACTTCACATTGCAGCATAGTACTCAATCGGCTCAGAAATATCCCTTGGCAGATTCTACAAAAGGACTGTTTCAAAACTGCTCAATCCAAAGAAAGTTTCAACTATGTGAGATGAATGCACCCATCACAAAGAAGTTCCTCAGAATGCTTCTGTTTAGTTTTTACGTGAAGATGTTTCGTTTTTCAACATGGGCCTCAGAATCTCTCCAAATATCCATTTGCAGATTCTAGAAAAAGAGTGTTTCCAAACTCCTCAATGAAAAGAAAGTTTCAATTCCCTGAGATGAAAACACACATCACACCGAAGTTTCTTAGAAAGCTTCCGTCTAGTTTTTATGGGAAGATGTTTCTCTTTCACCAGAAGCCTCAAACGGATCAGAATTCTCCCTTTGCAGATTGTACAATAAGCCTCTTTCCAATCTGCTCAATCAAAAGACAGTTTCAAGTCTGTGAGGTGAATGCACACATCACAAGGGAGTTTCTGAGAAAGCTCCTGTCTAGTTTTTATGTGAAGATATTTCGTATTTCACCACAGGCCATAAGGGGCTCACAAATATCCCTTTGCAGGTTCTACAAAAAGACTGTTTTCAAACTGCTCAATCAAAATAAAGGTTCAACTCTGTGACGTGAATGGACACATCACAAAAAATTTCTCGGAATGATTCTGTCTAGTTTTTATGTGAAGATACTTCCTTTTTCACCAAGGGCCTCAAATATCTCCAAATATCCATTTGCAGATTCTACAGAAAGACTTCCCAAACTGCTCAATCAAAAGAAAGGTTCAACACAGTGAGATGAAGGCACACATCACAAAGAACTTTCTCAGAAATCTTCTGTCTACTTTTTATGTGAGGCTATTTCTTGTTCACCATAGGCCTCAAGCAGCTAAGAAATTTCCCTCTGCAGCTTCCACAAAAGACTGGTTCCAAACTGCTCAACTGAAAGGAAGGTTGAATTCTGTGACATGAATTCACACATCACAAAGAGGTTTTTCAGAAATCTTCTGTCTACTTTTTATGTGAAGATATTTCATATTTCAACAAAGGCCATAAAGGGCTCACAAATATCCCTTTGCAGATTCTAAGGAAAGACATTTTCCAAACTCCTCAATCAAAAGAAAGGTTTCACTCTGTGCGATGAATGGACACATCACAAAGAAGTTTCTCAGAAAGCTACTGTGTCGTTTTTATGTGAAGACGTTTCCTTTTTCACTCTAGGCCTTAAAACTCCCTAAATATACATTCACAGATTCTACAAAAAGACTGATTCCAAACTGCTCAATCAGAAGAAAAGTTCAATTCCGTGTGACAAACTTGCACATCACAAAGCAATTTGTCAGAAAGCTTCTGTCTAGTTTTCATGTGAAGATATTTATTTTTCACCATTGGCCTCAAACTGCTCAGAAATATCCCTTTGCATTTTGTACAAAAAGACTGTTTCCAAACTGCTCAATGAAAAGAAATGGTCAACTCTTAGAGATGAATGGAAATGTCACAAAGAGTTTTCTCAAAAAGCTTCTGTCTGCATTTTATGTGAAGGTATTTCCTTTGGCACCTTAGGCCTTAAACCACTCACAAACATAACTCCGCTTATACTACCAAGAGACTTTCTCCAAATTGCTAAATCAAAAGAAACGTTCAACTCTGTGAGATGAATACACACATCAAAAAGAAGTTTCTCAAAATGCTTCTGTCTAGTTTTTATGTGAAGATATTTCCTTCTTCACCGTAGGCCGCAAATTGTTCCAAATATCCATTTGCGGATTCTACAAAAAGAATGTTTCCAAACTGGTCAATCAACAGAAAGGCTCAACTCTGTGAGACGAAAGCACACATCACAAAGAAGTTTCTCAGAAAGCTTCTGTCTGGTTACTCTGTGAAGATATTTCTTTTTTCACCACAGTCTTTAAGCCACTCAAAAATATCTGTCTGCAGACACTACAAAAAGACGGTTTCCAAACTGGCCCATATAGCATGTTTCAACTATGTGAAATGAATGCACTCATCAAAGAGAAGTTTCTCAGAATTCTTCTGTCTAGTTTTTATCTCAAGATAATTCCTATTTTGCCATAGGAATCAAGGGGCTCACAAATATCCCTTTGCAGATTCTACAAAAGTTCTGTTTACAAACCTCTCAATCAAAAGAAACGTTCAACATTGTGAGATGAATGAACACATCATAAAGAAGCTTCTCAGAATGCTTCTGTCTAGATTTTATGTGAAGATATTTCCATTTTCACCTTAGGCCACAAAGCGCTCCAAACATGCCTTTGCAGATGATACGAAAAGACTGTTTCCAAACTGCTCAATCAAAAGAAATTTTCAACTCTGTGAGATGAAAGCACCCATCACAAAAAAGTTTCTCAGAAATCTTCTGTCTAGTTTTTATGTGAAGATATTTCCTTTTTCACCATAGTCCTTACACCGCTCACAAATATCCTTCTGCAGATACTAGAAAAAGACTGTTTCCAAACTGCTCCATCAAAAGAAAATTTCACCTACCTGAGATGAATGCACACATCATAAAGAAGTTTCTCAGAATTCTTCTGTCCAGTTTAAATGTGAAGATATTTCTCTTTCACCACAGACCTCAAATGGCTCAGAAATATGCCTTTGCAGATTGCAGAAAAAGACTGTCTCTAAACTGCTCAAATAAAATAAAGTTTCAACACTGTGAGATGAATGCACACATCACAAAGAAGTTTCTCAGAAAGCTCCTGTCTAGTTTCTATGTGAAGATATTTACTATTTCACTATAGGCTTCAAAGGTCTCAAAAATATCCCTTTACAGATTCTACAAAAATACGGTTTCCACAGTGCTGAATTAAAAGAAACCTTCAACTCTGTCAGATGAATGGAGACATCACAAAGAAGTTCCTCGGAATGCTTCGGTCTACTTTTCATGTGAAGATATTTCCAGTTTCACCGTAGGCCTCAAAGGGCTAAGAAATATCCCTTTCCAGATTCTAAAAGACGACCGTTTCCATACTTCTCAATCAAAAGAAAGGTTAAATTCTCTGAGGTTAATGCCCACGTCAGAATGAAGTTTCTCAGAATTCTTCTGTTTAGTTTTTATGTGAAGATATTTCCTTTGTCACCATTGGCCTCAAAGCACTCCTAATATCCATTTA
This sequence comes from Homo sapiens, assembly GCF_000001405.40. Lineage (NCBI taxonomy): Eukaryota > Metazoa > Chordata > Mammalia > Primates > Hominidae > Homo > Homo sapiens. The sequence goes on along the minus strand of NC_000013.11, from coordinate 16,219,379 downwards.
CAGATTTCACAAAAAGAGTGTTTCCAAACAGCTCAATCAAAAGAAAGTGTTTAACTCTGTGAGGTGAAAGCACACATCTCCAAGGAGTTTCTCAGAAAGCTTCTGTCTAGTTTATATGTGAAGAAGATTCCTATTTCACCATAGGCAATAAAGGGCTCACAAATATTTTTTGCAGTTTCTACAAAAAGACTGTGTCCAAACTGCTCAATAAAAAGAAAGTTTTAACTCTGTTAGATTAACGGACACATCGAAAAGTAGTTTCTCGGAAAACTTCTGTCTAGTTTTTATGTGAAGATACTTCACAGTGCATCATAGTACTCAATGGGCTCAGAAATATCCCTTGGCAGATTCTACAAAAGGACTGTTTCAAAACTGCTCAATCCAAAGAAAGTTTCAACTATGTGAGATGAATGCACACATCACAAAGAAGTTCCTCAGAATGCTTCTGTTTAGTTTTTACGTGAAGATGTTTCGTTTTTCAACATGGGCCTCAGGATCTCTCCAAATATCCATTTGCAGATTCTAGAAAAAGAGTGTTTCCAAACTCCTCAATCAAAAGAAAGTTTCAATTCCGTGAGATGAAAGCACACATCACAACGAAGTTTCTTAGAAAGCTTCCGTCTAGTTTTTATGGGAAGATGTTTCTCTTTCACCATAAGCCTCAAACGGATCAGAATTCTCCCTTTGCAGATTGTACAATAAGCCTCTTTCCAATCTGCTCAATCAAAAGAAAGTTTCAACTCTGTGAGGTGAATGCACACATCACAAGGGAGTTTCTCAGAAAGCTCCTGTCTAGTTTTTGTGTGAAGATATTTCGTATTTCACCACAGGCCATAAGGGGCTCACAAATATCCCTTTGCAGGTTCTACACAAAGACTGTTTCCAAACTGCTCAATCAAAAGAAAGGTTCAACTCTGTGACGTGAATGGACACATCACAAAAAATTTCTCGGAATGATTCTGTCTAGTTTTATGTGAAGATACTTCCTTTTTCACCAAGGGCCTCAAATATCTCCAAATATCCATTTGCAGATTCTACAGAAAGACTTCCCAAACTGCTCAAACAAAAGAAAGGTTCAACACAGTGAGATGAAGGCACACATCACAAAAAAGTTTCTCAGAAATCTTCTGTCTACTTTTTATGTGAGGCTATTTCTTGTTCACCATAGGCCTCAAGCAGCTAAGAAATTTCCCTCTGCAGCTTCTACAAAAGACTGGTTCCAAACTGCTCAACTGAAAGGAAGGTTGAATTCTGTGACATGAATTCACACATCACAAAGAGGTTTTTCAGAAATCTTCTGTCTACTTTTTACGTGAAGATATTTCATATTTCAACAAAGGCCATAAAAGGATCACAAATATCCCTTTGCAGATTCTAAGAAAAGACATTTTCCAAACTCCTCAATCAAAAGAAAGGTTTCACTCTGTGCGATGAATGGACACATCACAAAGAAGTTTCTCAGAAAGCTACTGTGTCGTTTTTATGTGAAGACGTTTCCTTTTTCACTCTAGGCCTTAAAACTCTCTAAATATACATTCACAGATTCTACAAAAAGACGGATTCCAAACTGCTCAATCAGAAGAAAGTTTCAATTCCGTGTGACAAACGTGCACATCACAAAGAAATTTGTCAGAAAGCTTCTGTCTAGTTTTCATGTGAAGATATTTATTTTTCACCATTGGCCCCAAACGGCTCAGAAATATCCCTTTGCAGTTTGTAGGAAAAGACTGTTTCCAAACTGCTCAATGAAAAGAAATGGTCAACTATTAGAGATGAATGGAAATGTCACAAAGAGTTTTCTCATAAAGCTTCTGTCTACATTTTATGTGAAGGTATTTCCTTTGGCACCGTAGGCCTTAAACCACTCACAAACATAACTCCGCTTATACTACCAAGAGACTTTCTCCAAATCGCTAAATCAAAAGAAACGTTCAACTCTGTGAGATGAATACACACATCAAAAAGAAGTTTCTCAAAATGCTTTCTGTCTAGTTTTTATGTGAAGATATTTCCTTTTTCACCATAGTTCTCAAATTGCTCCAAATATCCATTTGCAGATTCTACAAAAAGAGTGTTTCCAAACTGGTCAATCAAAAGAAAGGCTCAACTCTGTGAGACGAAAACACACATCACAAAGTTTCTCAGAAAGCTTCTGTCTGGTTACTCTGTGAAGATATTTCTTTTTTCACCACAGTCTTTAAGCCACTCAAAAATATCTGTCTGCAGACACTACAAAAAGACTGTTTCCAAACTGGCCCATATAGCATGTTTCAACTATGTGAAATGAATGCACTCATCAAAGAGAAGTTTCTCAGAATTCTTCTGTCTAGTTTTTATCTCAAGAGAATTCCTATTTTGCCATAGGAATCAAGGGGCTCACAAATATCCCTTTGCAGATTCTACAAAAGTTGTGTTTACAAACCTCTCAATCAAAAGAAACGTTCAACATTGTGAGATGAATGAACACATCACAAAGAAGTTTCTCAGAATGCTTCTGTCTAGATTTTATGTGAGGATATTTCCATTTTCACCTTAGGCCACAAAGCGCTCCAAACATCCCTTTGCAGATGATACGAAAAGACTGTTTCCAAACTGCTCAATCAAAAGAAATTTTCAACTCTGTGAGATGAAAGCACCCATCACAAAAAAGTTTCTCAGATATCTTCTGTCTAGTTTTTATGTGAAGATATTTCCTTTTTCAGCGTAGTCCTTACACCGCTCACAAATATCCTTCTGCAGATACTAGAAAAAGACTGTTTCCAAACTGCTCCATCAAAAGAAAATTTCACCTACCTGAGATGAATGCACCCATCATAAAGAAGTTTGCTCAGAATTCTTCTGTCTAGTTTAAATGTGAAGATATTTCTCTTTCACCACAGACCTCAAATGGCTCAGAAATATGCCTTTGCAGATTGCAGAAAAAGACTGTCTCTAAACTGCTCAAATAAAATAAAGTTTCAACACTGTGAGATGAATGCACACATCACAAAGAAGTTTCTCAGAAAGCTCCTGTCTAGTTTCTATGTGAAGATATTTACTATTTCACTGTAGGCTTCAAAGGTCTCAAAAATATCCCTTTGCAGATTCTACAAAAATACGGTTTCCACAGTGCTGAATTAAAAGAAACCTTCAACTCTGTCAGATGAATGGAGACATCACAAAGAAGTTCCTCGGAATGCTTTGGTCTAGTTTTCATGTGAAGATATTTCCAGTTTCACCATAGGCCTCAAAGGGCTAAGAAATATCCCTTTCCAAATTCTAAAAGACGAACATTTCCATACTGCTCAATCAAAAGAAAGGTTAAATTCTGTGAGGTGAATGCACACATCAGAATGAAGTTTCTCAGAATTCTTCTGTTTAGTTTTTATGTAAAGATATTTCCTTTGCCACCATTGGCCTCATATCACTCCTAATAACTATTTACAGATTTCACAAAAAGAGTGTTTCCAAACAGCTCAATCAAAAGAAAGTGTTTAACTCTGTGAGGTGAAAGCACACATCTCAATGAAGTTTCTCAGAAAGCTTCTGTCTAGTTTATATGTGAAGAAGATTCCTATTTCACCATAGGCAATAAAGGGCTCACAAATATTTTTTGCAGATTCTACAAAAAGACTGTATCCTAACTGCTCAATAAAAAGAAAGTTTTAACTCTGTTAGATTAATGGACACATCGAAAAGTAGTTTCTCAGAAAACTTTTGTCTAGTTTTTATGTGAAGATATTTCACATTGCACCATAGTACTCAATGGGTTCAGAAATATCCCTTTGCAGATTTTACAAAATGACTGTTTCCAAACTGCTCAATCCAAAAAAAGTTTCAACTATGTGAGATGAATGCACACATCACAAAGAAGTTCCTCAGAATGCTTCTGTTTAGTTTTTACGTGAAGATGTTTCGTTTTTCAACATGGGCCTCAAAAGCTCTCCAAATATCCACTTGCAGATTCTAGAAAAAGAGTGTTTCCAAACTCCTCAATCAAAAGAAAGTTTCAATTCTGTGAGATGAAAGCACACATCACACCGAAGTTTCTTAGAAAGATTCCTTGTAGTTTTTATGGGAAGATGTTTCTCTTTCACCAGAAGCCTCAAACGGATCAGAATTCTCCCTTTGCAGATTGTACAGTAAGCCTCTTTCCAATCTGCTCAATCAAAAGAAAGTTTCAACTCTGGGAGGTGAATGCACACATCACAAGGGAGTTTCTCAGAAAGCTCCTGTCTAGTTTTTGTGTGAAGATATTTCGTATTTCACCACAGGCCATAAGGGACTCACAAATATCCCTTTGCAGGTTCTACACAAAGACTGTTTCCAAACTGCTCAATCAAAAGAAAGGTTCAACTCTGTGACGTGAATGGACACATCACAAAAAATTTCTCGGAATGATTCTGTCTAGATTTTATGTGAAGATACTTCCTTTTTCACCACGGGCCTCAAATATCTCCAAATATCCATTTGCAGATTCTACAGAAAGACTTCCCAAACTGCTCAATCAAAAGAAAGGTTCAACACAGTGAGATGAAGGCACACATCACAAAGAAGTTTCTCAGAAATCTTCTGTCTAGTTTTTATGTGAGGCTATTTCTTGTTCACCATAGGCCTCAAGCAGCTAAGAAATTTCCCTCTGCAGCTTCTACAAAAGACTGTTTCCAAACTGCTCAACTGAAAGAAAGGTTGAATTCTGTGACATGAATTCACACATCACAAAGAGGTTTTTCAGAAATCTTCTGTCTACTTTTTATGTGAAGATATTTCATATTTCAACAAAGGCCATAAAGGACTCACAAATATCCCTTCGCAGATTCTAAGAAAAGACGTTTTCCAAACTCCTCAACCAAAAGAAAGGTTTAACTCTGTGAGATGAATGGACACATCACGAAGAAGTTTCTCAGAAAGCTACTGTGTCGTTTTTATGTGAAGACGTTTCCTTTTTCACTCTAGGCCTTAAAACTCTCTAAATATACATTCACAGATTCTACAAAAAGACTGATTCCAAACTGCTCAATCAGAAGAAAGGTTCAGTTCCGTGTGACAAACGTGCACATCAGAAAGAAATTTGTCAGAAACCTTCTGTCTAGTTTTCATGTGAAGATATTTATTTTTCACCATTGGCCCCAAACGGCTCAGAAATGTCCCTTTGCAGTTTGTAGGAAAAGACTGTTTCCAAACTGCTCAATGAGAAGAAATGGTCAACTATTAGAGATGAATGGACATGTCACAAAGAGTTTTCTCAAAAAGCTTCTGTCTACATTTTTTGTGAAGGTATTTCCTTTGGCACCGTAGGCCTTAAACCACTCACAAACATAACTCCGCTTATACTACCAAGAGACTTTCTCCAAATTGCTAAATCAAAAGAAACGTTCAACTCTGTGAGATGAATACACACATCAAAAAGAAGTTTCTCAAAATGGTTCTGTCTAGTTTTTATGTGAAGATATTTCCTTCTTCACCGTAGGCCGCAAATTGTTCCAAATATCCATTTGCGGATTCTACAAAAAGAATGTTTCCAAACTGGTCAATCAACAGAAAGGCTCAACTCTGTGAGACGATAGCACACATCACAAAGAAGTTTCTCAGAAAGCTTCTGTCTGGTTACTCTGTGAAGATATTTCTTTTTTCACCACAGTCTTTAAGCCACTCAAAAATATCTGTCTGCAGACACTACAAAAAGACAGTTTCCAAACTGGCCCATATAGCATGTTTCAACTATGTGAAATGAATGCACTCATCAAAGAGAAGTTTCTCCGAATTCTTCTGTCTAGTTTTTATCTCAAGATAATTCCTATTTTGCCATAGGAATCAAGGGGCTCACAAATATCCCTTTGCAGATTCTACAAAAGTTCTGTTTACAAACCTCTCAATCAAAAGAAACGTTCAACATTGTGAGATGAATGAACACATCACAAAGAAGTTTCTCAGAATGCTTCTGTCTAGATTTTCTGTGAAGACATTTCCATTTTCACCTTAGGCCACAAAGCGCTCCAAACATCCCTTTGCAGATGATACGAAAAGACTGTTTCCAAACTGCTCAATCAAAAGAAATTTTCAACTCTGTGAGATGAAAGCACCCATCACAAAAAAGTTTCTCAGAAATCTTCTGTCTAGTTTTTATGTGAAGATATTTCCTTTTTCAGCGTAGTCCTTACACCGCTCACAAATATCCTTCTGCAGATACTAGAAAAAGACTGTTTCCAAACTGCTCCATCAAAAGAAAATTTCACCTACCTGAGATGAATGCACCCATCATAAAGAAGTTTCTCAGAATTCTTCTGTCTAGTTTAAATGTGAAGATATTTCTCTTTCACCACAGACTTCAAATGGCTCAGAAATATGCCTTTGCAGATTGCAGAAAAAGACTGTCTCTAAACTGCTCAAATAAAATAAAGTTTCAACACTGTGAGATGAATGCACACATCACAAAGAAGTTTCTCAGAAAGCTCCTGTCTAGTTACTATGTGAAGATATTTACTATTTCACTGTAGGCTTCAAAGGTCTCAAAAATATCCCTTTGCAGATTCTGCAAAAATACGGTTTCCACAGTGCTGAATTAAAAGAAACCTTCAACTCTGTCAGATGAATGGAGACATCACAAAGAAGTTCCTCGGAACGCTTCGGTCTACTTTTCATGTGAAGATATTTCCAGTTTCACCGTAGGCCTCAAAGGGCTAAGAAATATCCCATTCCAGATTTTAAAAGACGGCCGTTTCCATACTTCTCAATCAAAAGAAAGGTTAAATTCTCTGAGGTTAATGCCCACGTCAGAATGAAGTTTCTCAGAATTCTTCTGTGTAGTTTTTATGTGAAGATATTTCCTTTGTCACCATTGGTCTCAAAGCACTCCTAATATCCATTTACAGATTTCACAAAAAGAGTGTTTCCAAACAGCTCAATCAAAAGAAAGTGTTTAACTCTGTGAGGTGAAAGCACACATCTCAAAGAAGTTTCTCCGAAAGCTTCTGTCTAGTTTATATGTGAAGAAGATTCCTATTTCACCATAGGCAATAAAGGGCTCACAAATATTTTTTGCAGATTCTACAAAAAGACTGTATCCAAACTGCTCAATAAAAAGAAAGTTTCAACTCTGTTAGATTAATGGACACATCGAAAAGTAGTTTCTCAGAAAACTTCTGTCTAGTTTTTATGTGAAGATATTTCACATTTCACCATAGTACTCAATGGGCTCAGAAATATCCCTTTGCAGATTCTACAAAAGGACTGTTTCCAAACTGCTCAATCCAAAGAAAGTTTCAACTCTGTGAGATGAATGCACACATCACAAAGAAGTTTCTCAGAATGCTTCTGTTTAGTTTTTACGTGAAGATGTTTCGTTTTTCAACATGGGCCTCAAAAGCTCTCCAAATATCCACTTGCAGATTCTAGAAAAAGAGTGTTTCCAAACTCCTCAATCAAAAGAAAGTTTCAATTCTGTGAGATGAAAGCCCACATCACACCGAAGTTTCTTAGAAAGCTTCCGTCTAGTTTTTATGGGAAGATGTTTCTCTTTCACCAGAAGCCTCAAACGGATCGGAATTCTCCCTTTGCAGATTGTACAATAAGCCTCTTTCCAATCTGCTCAATCAAAAGAAAGTTTCAACTCTGTGAGGTGAATGCACACATCACAAGTTAGTTTCTCAGAAAGCTCCTGTCTAGTTTTTATTTGAAGATATTTCGTATTTCACCAAAGACCACAAGGGGCTCACAAATATCCCTTTGCAGGTTCCACAAAAAGACTGTTTCCAAACTGCTCAATCAAAAGAAAGGTTCAACTCTGTGACGTGAATGGACTCATCGCAGAAAATTTCTTGGAATGATTCTGTCTAGTTTTTATGTGAAGATACTTTCTTTTTCACCATGGGCCTGAAATAGCTCCAAATATCCATTTGCAGATTCTACAAAAAAGACTTTCCAAACTGCTCAATCAAAGAAAGGTTCAACACTGTGAGATGAAAGCACACATCACAAAGAAGTTTCTCAGAAATCTTCTGTCTACTTTTTATGTGAGGCTATTTCTGGTTCACCATAGGCCTCAAGCAGCTAAGAAATTTCCCTCTGCAGCTTCTACAAAAGACTGGTTCCAAACTGCTCAACTGAAAGGAAGGTTGAATTCTGTGACATGAATTCACACATCACAAAGAGATTTCTCAGAAATCTTCTGTCTACTTTTTATGTGAAGATATTTCATATTTCAACAAAGGCCATAAAGGGCTCACAAATATGCCTTTGCAGATTCTAAGAAAAGACATTTTCCAAACTCCTCAATCAAAAGACAGGTTTCACTCTGTGCGATGAATGGACACATCACAAAGAAGTTTCTCAGAAAGCTACTGCGTCGTTTTTATGTGAAGACGTTTCCTTTTTCACTCTAGGCCTTAAAACTCTCTAAATATACATTCACAGATTCTACAAAAAGACTGATTCCAAACTGCTCAATCAGAAGAAAGGTTCAGTTCCGTGTGACAAACGTGCACATCACAAAGAAATTTGTCAGAAAGCTTCTGCCTAGTTTTCATGTGAAGATATTTATTTTTCACCATTGGCCCCAAACGGCTCAGAAATATCCCTTTGCAGTTTGTAGGAAAAGACTGTTTCCAAACTGCTCAATGAGAAGAAATGGTCAACTATTAGAGATGAATGGAAATGTCACAAGGAGTTTTCTCAAAATTCTTCTGTCTACATTTTATGTGAAGGTATTTCCTTTGGCACCGTAGGCCTTAAACCACTCACAAACATAACTCTGCTTATACTACCAAGAGACTTTCTCCAAATTGCTAAATCAAAAGAAACGTTCAACTCTGTGAGATGAATACACACATCAAAAAGAAGTTTCTCAAAATGCTTCTGTCTAGTTTTTATGTGAAGATATTTCCTTCTTCACCGTAGGCCGCAAATTGCTCCAAATATCCATTTGCGGATTCTACAGAAAGAATGTTTCCAAACTGGTCAATCAACAGAAAGGCTCAACTCTGTGAGACGAAAGCACACATCACAAAGAAGTTTCTCAGAAAGCTTCTGTCTGGTTACTCTGTGAAGATATTTCTTTTTTCACCACAGTCTTTAAGCCACTCAAAAATATCTGTCTGCAGACACTACAAAAAGACTGTTTCCAAACTGGCCCATATAGCATGTTTCAAATATGTGAAATGAATGCACTCATCAAAGAGAAGTTTCTCAGAATTCTTCTGTCTAGTTTTTATCTCAAGATAATTCCTATTTTGCCATAGGAATCAAGGGGCTCACAAATATCCCTTTGCAGATTCTACAAAAGTTCTGTTTACAAAGCTCTCAATCAAAAGAAACGTTCAACATTGTGAGGTGAATGAACACATCACAAAGAAGTTTCTCAGAATGCTTCTGTCTAGATTTTATGTGAAGATATTTCCATTTTCACCTTAGACCACAAAGCGCTCCAAACATCCCTTTGCAGATGATACGAAAAGACTGTTTCCAAACTGCTCAATCAAAAGAAATTTTCAACTCTGTGAGATGAAAGCACCCATCACAAGAAAGTTTCTCAGAAATCTTCTGTCTAGTTTTTATGTGAAGATATTTCCTTTTTCACCATAGGCCTTAAACTGCTCACAAATATCCTTCTGCAGATACTAAAAAAATACTGTTTCCAAACTGCTCCATCAAAAGAAAAGTTCACCTCTCTGAGATGAATGCACACATCACAAAGAAGTTTCTCAGAATTCTTCTGTCTAGTTTAAATGTGAAGATATTTCTCTTTCACCACAGACCTCAAATGGCTCAGAAATAAGCCTTTGCAGATTGCAGAAAAAGACTGTCTCTAAACTGCTCAAATAAAATAAAGTTTCAACACTGTGAGATGAATGCACACATCACAAAGAAGTTTCTCAGAAAGCTCCTGTCTAGTTTCTATGTGAAGATATTTACTATTTCACTGTAGGCTTCAAAGGTCTCAAAAATATCCCTTTGCAGATTCTGCAAAAATACGGTTTCCACAGTGCTGAATTAAAAGAAACCTTCAACTCTGTCAGATGAATGGAGACATCACAAAGAAGTTCCTCGGAACGCTTCGGTCTAGTTTTCATGTAAAGATATTTCCAGTTTCACCATAGGCCTCAAAGGGCCAAGAAATATCCCTTTCCAGATTCTAAAAGACAACCACTTCCATACTGCTCAATCAAAAGAAAGCTTAAATTCTGTGAGGTGAATGCACACATGAGAATGAAATTTCTCAGAATTCTTCTGTTTAGTTTTTATGAGAAGTTATTTCCTTTGTCACCATTGGCCTCAAAGCACTCCTAATATCCATTTACAGATTTCACAAAAAGAGTGTTTCCAAACAGCTCAATCAAAAGAAAGTGTTTAACTCTGTGAGGTGAAAGCACACATCTCAATGAAGTTTCTCAGAACGCTTCTGTCTAGTTTATATGTGAAGATGATTCCTATTTCACCATAGGCAATAAAGGGCTCACAAATATGTTTTGCAGATTCTACAAAAAGACTGTGTCCAAACTGCTCAATAAAAAGAAAGTTTTAACTCTGTTAGATTAACGGACACATCGAAAAGTAGTTTCTCAGAAAACTTCTGTCTAGTTTTTATGTGAAGATACTTCACAGTGCATCATAGTACTCAATGGGCTCAGAAATATCCCCTGGCAGATTCTACAAAAGGACTGTTTCAAAACTGCTCAATCCAAAGAAAGTTTCAACTATGTGAGATGAATGCACACATCACAAAGGAGTTCTTCAGAATGCTTCTGTTTAGTTTTTACGTGAAGATATTTCGTTTTTCACCACGGGCCTCAAAAGCTCTCCAAATATCCATTTGCATATTCTAGAAAAAGAGTGTTTCCAAACTCCTCAATCAAAGGATAGTTTCAATTCTGTGAGACGAAAGCACACATCACAACGAAGTTTCTTAGAAAGCGTCCGTCTAGTTTTTATGGGAAGATGTTTCTCTTTCACCATAAGCCTCAAACGGATCAGAATTCTCCCTTTGCAGATTGTACAATGAGCCTCTTTCCAATCTGCTCAATCAAAAGAAAGTTTCAACTCTGTGAGGTGAATGCACACATCACAAGGGAGTTTCTCAGAAAGCTCCTGTCTAGTTTTTATGTGAAGATATTTCGTATTTCACCACAGGCCATAAGGGGCTCACAAATATCCCTTTGCAGGTTCTACAAAAAGACTGTTTTCAAACTGCTCAATCAAAAGAAAGGTTCAACTCTGTGACGTGAATGGACACATCACAAAAAATTTTTCGGAATCATTCTGTCTAGTTTTTATGTGAAGATACTTCCTTTTTCACCAAGGGCCTCAAATATCTCCAAATATCCATTTGCAGATTCTACAGAAAGACTTCCCAAACTGCTCAATCAAAAGAAAGGTTCAACACAGTGAGATGAAGGCACACATCACAAAGAAGTTTCTCAGAAATCTTCGGTCTACTGTTTATGTGAGGCTATTTCTTGTTCACCATAGGCCTCAAGCAGCTAAGAAATTTCCCTCTGCAGCTTCTACAAAAGACTGGTTACAAACTGCTCAACTGAAAGGAAGGTTGAATTCTGTGACATGAATTCACACATCACAAAGAGGTTTCTCAGAAATCTTCTGTCTACTTTTTATGTGAAGATATTTCATATTTCAACAAAGGCCATAAAGGGCTCACAAATATCCCTTTGCGGATTCTAAGAAAAGACATTTTCCAAACTCCTCAATCAAAAGAAATGTTTCACTCTGTGCGATGAATGGACACATCACAAAGAAATTTCTCAGAAAGCTACTGTGTCGTTTTTATGTGAAGACGTTTCCTTTTTCACTCTAGGCCTTAAAACTCTCTAAATATACATTCACAGATTCTACAAAAAGACTGATTCCAAACTGCTCAATCAGAAGAAAGGTTCAATTCCTTGTGACAAACGTGCACATCACAAAGAAATTTGTCAGAAAGCATCTGTCTAGTTTTCATGTGAAGATATTTATTTTTCACCATTGGCCCCAAACGGCTCAGAAATGTCCCTTTGCAGTTTGTAGGAAAAGACTGTTTCCAAACTGCTCAATGAGAAGAAATGGTCAACAATTAGAGATGAATGGACATGTCACAAAGAGTTTTCTCAAAAAGCTTCTGTCTGCATTTTATGTGAAGGTATTTCCTTTAGCACCGTAGGCCTTAAACCACTCACAAACATAACTCCGCTTATACTACCAAGAGACTTTCTCCAAATTGCTAAATCAAAAGAAACGTTCAACTCTGAGAGATGAATACACACATCAAAAAGAAGTTTCTCAAAATGCTTCTGTCTAGTTTTTATGTGAAGATATTTCCTTCTTCACCGTAGGCCGCAAATTGCTCCAAATATCCATTTGCGGATTCTACAGAAAGAATGTTTCCAAACTGGTCAATCAACAGAAAGGCTCAACTCTGTGAGACGAAAGCACACATCACAAAGAAGTTTCTCAGAAAACTTCTGTCTGGTTTTAATGTGAAGATATTTACTTTTTCACCATGGGCCTGAAAACACTCCATATATCCACTTGCAGATTCTACAAAAATAGTGTTTTCAAACTGCTCAATGAAAAGAAAGGTTCAATTCTGTGAGATGAAAGCACACTTCACAAAAGTATTTCTTAGAAACCTTCTGTCTAGCTTTTATCTCAAGATAATTCCTATTTTGCCATAGGAATCAATGTGCTCACAAATATCCCTTTGCAGATTCTACAAAAGTTCTGTTTCCAAGCTGCTCAATCAAAAGAAACGTTCAACATTGTGAGATGAATGCACACATCACAAAGAAGTTTCTCAGAATGCTTGTGTCTAGATTTTATGTGAAGATATTTCCATTTTCACCTTAGGCCACAAAGCGTTCCAAACATCCCTTTGCAGATGATACGAAAAGACTGTTTCCAAACTGCTCAATCAAAAGAAACTTTCAACTCTGTGAGATGAAAGCACCCATCACAAAAAAGTTTCTCAGAAATCTTCTGTCTAGTTTTTATGTGAAGATATTTCCTTTTTCAGCATAGTCCTTACACCGCTCACAAATATCCTTCTGCAGATACTAGAAAAAGACTGTTTCCAAACTGCTCCATCAAAAGAAAATTTCACCTACCTGAGATGAATGCACACATCATAAAGAAGTTTCTCAGAATTCTTCTGTCTAGTTTAAATGTGAAGATATTTCTTTTTCACCATAGACCTCAAATGGCTCAGAAATATACCTTTGCAGATTGCAGAAAAAGACTGTTTCTAAACTTCTCAAACAAAATAAAGTTTCAACACTGTGAGATGAATGCACACATCAGAAAGAAGTTTCTCAGAAAGCTCCTGTCTAGTTTCTGTGTGAAGATATTTACTATTTCACTATAGGCTTCAAAGGTCCCAAAAATATCCCTTTGCAGATTCTACAAAAATATGGTTTCCACAGTGCTGAATTGAAAGAAACCTTCAACTCTGTCAGATGAATGGAGACATCACAAAGAAGTTCCCCGGAATGCTTCGGTCTACTTTTCATGTGAAGATATTTCCAGTTTCACCGTAGGCCTCAAAGGGCTAAGAAATATCCCTTTCCAGATTCTAAAAGACGACCGTTTCCATACTTCTCAATCAAAAGAAAGGTTAAGTTCTCTGAGGTTAATGCCCACGTCAGAATGAAGTTTCTCAGAATTCTTCTGTTTAGTTTTTATGTGAAGATATTTCCTTTGTCACCATTGGCCTCAAAGCACTCCTAATATCCATTTACAGATTTCACAAAAAGAGTGTTTCCAAACAGCTCAATCAAAAGAAAGTGTTTAACTCTGTGAGGTGAAAGCACACATCTCAAAGAAGTTTTTCCGAAAGCTTCTGTCTAGTTTATATGTGAAGAAGATTCCTATTTCACCATAGGCAATAAAGGGCTCGCAAATATTTTTTGCAGATTCTACAAAAAGACTGTATCCAAACTGCTCAATAAAAAGAAAGTTTTAACTCTGTTAGATTAATGGACACATCGAAAGGTAGTTTCTCAGAAAACTTCTGTCTAGTTTTTATGTGAAGATACTTCACATTGCAGCATAGTACTCAATGGGCTCAGAAATATCCCTTGGCAGATTCTACAAAAGGACTGTTTCAAAACTGCTCAATCCAAAGAAAGTTTCAACTATGTGAGATGAATGCACACATCACAAGGAAGTTCCTCAGAATGCTTCTGTTTAGTTTTTACGTGAAGATGTTTCGTTTTTCAACATGGGCCTCAAAAGCTCTCCAAATATCCACTTGCAGATTCTAGAAAAAGAGTGTTTCCAAACTCCTCAATCAAAAGAAAGTTTCAATTCTGTGAGATGAAAGCACACATCACACCGAAGTTTCTTAGAAAGCTTCCGTCTAGTTTTAATGGGAAGATGTTTCTCTTTCACCAGAAGCCTCAAAAGGATCAGAATTCTCCCTTTGCAGATTGTACAATAAGCCTCTTTCCAATCTGCTCAACCAAAAGAAAGTTTCAACTCTGTAAGGTGAATGCACACATCACAAGGGAGTTTCTCCGAAAGCTCCTGTCTAGTTTTTATGTGAAGATATTTCGTATTTCACCACAGGCCATAAGGGGCTCACAAATATCCCTTTGCAGGTTCTACAAAAAGACTGTTTCCAAACTGCTCAATCAAAAGAAAGGTTCAACTCTGTGACGTGAATGGACACATCGCAGAAAATTTCTTGGAACGATCCTGTCTAGTTTTTATGTGAAGATACTTCCTTTTTCACCACGAGCCTCAAATATCTCCAAATATCCATTTGCAGATTCTACAGAAAGACTTTCCAAACTGCTCCATCAAAAGAAAGGTTCAACACTGTGAGATGAAGGCACACATCACCAAGAAGTTTCTCAGAAACCTTCTGTCTAGTTTTTATGTGAGGCTATTTCTTGTTCACCATAGGCCTCAAGCAGCTAAGAAATTTCCCTCTGCAGCTTCTACAAAAGACTGGTTACAAACTGTTCAACTGAAAGGAAGGTTGAATTCTGTGACATGAATTCACACATCACAAAGAGGTTTCTCAGAAATCTTCTGTCTACTTTTTACGTGAAGATATTTCATATTTCAACAAAGGCCGTAAAGGGCTCACAAATAACCCTTTGCAGATTCTAAGAAAAGACATTTTCCAAACTCCTCAATCAAAAGAAAGGTTTCACTCTGTGCGATGAATGGACACATCACAAAGAAGTTTCTCAGAAAGCTACTGTATCGTTTTTATGTGAAGACATTGCCTCTTGCACCCTAGGCCTTAAAACTCTCTAAACACACATTCACAGATTCTACAAAAAGACTGATTCCAAACTGCTCAATCAGAAGAAGGGTTCAATTCCGTGTGACAAACGTGCACATCACAAAGAAATTTGTCAGAAAGCTTCTGTCTAGTTTTCATGTGAAGATATTTATTTTTCACCATTGGCCCCAAACGGCTCAGAAATGTCCCTTTGCAGTTTGTAGGAAAAGACTGTTTCCAAACTGCTCAATGAGAAGAAATGGTCAAATATGAGAGATGAATGGAAATGTCACAAAGAGTTTTCTCAAAAAGCTTCTGTCTGCATTTTATGTGAAGGTATTTCCTTTGGCACCGTAGGCCTTAAACCACTCACAAACATAACTCCGCTTATACTACCAAGAGACTTTCTCCAAATTGCTAAATCAAAAGAAACGTTCAACACTGTGAGATGAATACACACATCAAAAAGAAGTTTCTCAAAATGCTTCTGTCTAGTTTTTATGTGAAGATATTTCCTTCTTCACCGTAGGCCGCAAATTGCTCCAAATATCCATTTGCGTATTCTACAGAAAGAATGTTTCCAAACTGGTCAATCAACAGAAAGGCTCAACTCTGTGAGACGAAAGCACACATCACAAAGAAGTTTCTCAGAAAGCTTCTCTCTGGTTACTCTGTGAAGATATTTCTTTTTTCACCACAGTCTTTAAGCCACTCAAAAATATCTGTCTGCAGACACTACAAAAAGACGGTTTCCAAACTGGCCCATATAGCATGTTTCAACTATGTGAAATGAATGCACTCATCAAAGAGAAGTTTCTCAGAATTCTCCTGTCTAGTTTTTATCTCAAGATAATTCCTATTTTGCCATAGGAATCAAGGGGCTCACAAATATCCCTTTGCAGATCCTACAAAAGTTCTGTTTACAAACCTCTCAATCAAAAGAAACGTTCAACATTGTGAGACGAATGAACACATCACAAAGAAGTTTCTCAGAATGCTTCTGTCTAGATTTTATGTGAAGATATTTCCATTTTCACCTTAGGCCACAAAGCGCTCCACACATCCCTTTGCAGATGATACGAAAAGACTGTTTCCAAACTGCTCAATCAAAAGAAATTTTCAACTCTGTGAGATGAAAGCAACCATCACAAAAAAGTTTCTCAGAAATCTTCTGTCTAGTTTTTATGTGAAGATATTTCCTTTTTCAGCATAGTCCTTACACCGCTCACAAATATCCTTCTGCAGATACTAGAAAAAGACTGTTTCCAAACTGCTCCATCAAAAGAAAATTTCACCTACCTGAGAGGAATGCACACATCATAAAGAAGTTTCTCAGAATTCTTCTGTCTAGTTTCAATGTGAAGATATTTCTTTTTCACCATAGACCTCAAATGGCTCAGAAATATACCTTTGCAGATTGCAGAAAAAGACTGTTTCTAAACTGCTCAAACAAAATAAAGTTTCAACACTGTGAGATGAATGCGCACATCACAAAGAAGTTTCTCAGAAAGCTCCTGTCTAGTTTCTGTGTGAAGATATTTACTCTTTCACTATAGGCTTCAAAGGTCCCAAAAATATCCCTTTGCAGATTCTACAAAAATATGGTTTCCACAGTGCTGAATTGAAAGAAACCTTCAACTCTGTCAGATGAATGGAGACATCACAAAGAAGTTCCCCGGAATGCTTGGTCTAGTTTTCATGTGAAGATATTTCCAGTTTCACCATAGGCCTCAAAGGGCTAAGAAATATCCCTTTCCAAATTCTAAAAGACGAACATTTCCATACTGCTCAATCAAAAGAAAGGTTAAATTCTGTGAGGTGAATGCACACATCAGAATGAAGTTTCTCAGAATTCTCTCTGTGTAGTTTTTATGTGAAGATATTTCCTTTGTCACCATTGGCCTCAAAGCACTCCTAATATCCATTTACAGATTTCACAAAAAGAGTGTTTCCAAACAGCTCAATCAAAAGAAAGTGTTTAACTCTGTGAGGTGAAAGCACACATCTCAAAGAAGTTTCTCCGAAAGCTTCTGTCTAGTTTATATGTGAAGAAGATTCCTATTTCACCATAGGCAATAAAGGGCTCGCAAATATTTTTTGCAGATTCTACAAAAAGACTGTATCCAAACTGCTCAATAAAAAGAAAGTTTTAACTCTGTTAGATTAATGGACACATCGAAAGGTAGTTTCTCAGAAATCTTCTGTCTAGCTTTTATGTGAAGATACTTCACAGTGCATCATAGTACTCAATGGGCTCAGAAATATCCCTTGGCAGATTCTACAAAAGGACTGTTTCAAAACTGCTCAATCCAAAGAAAGTTTCAACTATGTGAGATGAATGCACACATCACAAAGAAGTTCCTCAGAATGCTTCTGTTTAGTTTTTATGTGAAGATGTTTCGTTTTTCAACATGGGCCTCAGGATCTCTCCAAATATCCATTTGCAGATTCTAGAAAAAGAGTGTTTCCAAACTCCTCAATCAAAAGAAAGTTTCAATTCCGTGAGATGAAAGCACACATCACAACGAAGTTTCTTAGAAAGCTTCCGTCTAGTTTTTATGGGAAGATGTTTCTCTTTCACCAGAAGCCTCAAACGGATCAGAATTCTCCCTTTGCAGATTGTACAATAAGCCTCTTTCCAATCTCCTCAATCAAAAGAAAGTTTCAACTCTGTGAGGTGAATGCACACATCAAAAGGGAGTTTCTCAGAAAGCTCCTGTCTAGTTTTTATGTGAAGATATTTCGTATTCCACCACAGGCCATAAGGGGCTCACAAATATCCCTTTGCAGGTTCCACAAAAAGACTGTTGCCAAACTGCTCAATCAAAAGAAAGGTTCAACTCTGTGACGTGAATGGACACATCACAAACAATTTCTTGGAATGATTCTGTCTAGTTTTTATGTGAAGATACTTCCTTTTTCACCACGGGCCTCAAATATCTCCAAATATCCATTTACAGATTCTACAGAAAGACTTCCCAAACTGCTCAATCAAAAGAAAGGTTCAACACAGTGAGATGAAGGCACACATCACAAAGAAGTTTCTCAGAAATCTTCTGTCTACTTTTTATGTGAGGCTATTTCTGGTTCACCTTAGGCCTCAAGCAGCTAAGAAATTTCCCTCTGCAGCTTCTACAAAAGACTGGTTCCAAACTGCTCAACTGAAAGGAAGGTTGAATTCTGTGACATGAATTCACACATCACAAAGAGATTTCTCAGAAATCTTCTGTCTACTTTTTACGTGAAGATATTTCATATTTCAACAAAGGCCATAAAGGGCTCACAAATATCCCTTTGCAGATTCTAAGAAAAGACATTTTCCAAACTCCTCAATCAAAAGAAAGGTTTCACTCTGTGCGATGAATGGACACATCACAAAGAAGTTTCTCAGAAAGCTACTGTGTCGTTTTTATGTGAAGACGTTTCCTTTTTCACTCTAGGCCTTAAAACTCTCTAAATATACATTCACAGATTCTACAAAAAGACTGATTCCAAACTGCTCAATCAGAAGAAAGGTTCAATTTCGTGTGACAAACGTGCACATCACAAAGAAATTTGTCAGAAAGCTTCTGTCTAGTTTTCATGTGAAGATATTTATTTTTCACCATTGGCCCCAAACGGCTCAGAAATATCCCTTTGCAGTTTGTAGGAAAAGACTGTTTCCAAACTGCTCAATGAGAAGAAATTTTCAACTATTAGAGATGAATGGAAATGTCACAAAGAGTTTTCTCAAAAAGCTTCTGTCTGCATTTTATGTGAAGGTATTTCCTTTGGCACCGTAGGCCTTAAACCACTCACAAACATAACTCCGCTTATACTACCAAGAGACTTTCTCCAAATTGCTAAATCAAAAGAAACGTTCAACTCTGAGAGATGAATACACACATCAAAAAGAAGTTTCTCAAAATGCTTCTGTCTAGTTTTTATCTGAAGATATTTCCTTCTTCACCGTAGGCCGCAAATTGCTCCAAATATCCATTTGCGGATTCTACAGAAAGAATGTTTCCAAACTGGTCAATCAACAGAAAGGCTCAACTCTGTGAGACGAAAGCACACATCACAAAGAAGTTTCTCAGAAAGCTTCTGTCTGGTTACTCTGTGAAGATATTTCTTTTTTCACCACAGTCTTTAAGCCACTCAAAAATATCTGTCTGCAGACACTACAAAAAGACTGTTTCCAAACTGGCCCATATAGCATGTTTCAACTATGTGAAAGGAATGCACTCATCAAAGAGAAGTTTCTCAGAATTCTTCTGTCTAGTTTTTATCTCAAGATAATTCCTATTTTGCCATAGGAATCACGGGGCTCAAAAATATCCCTTTGCAGATTCTACAAAAGTTCTGTTTACAAACCTCTCAATCAAAAGAAACGTTCAACATTGTGAGATGAATGAACACATCACAAAGAAGTTTCTCAGAATGCTTCTGTCTAGTTTTTATGTGAAGATATTTCCATTTTCACCTTAGGCCACAAAGTGCTCCAAATATCCATTTGCAGATTATACAAAAAGACTGTTTCCAAACTGCTCAATCAAAAGAAATTTTCAACTCTGTGAGATGAAAGCACACATCACAAAGAAGTTTCTCAGAAATCTTCTGTCTAGTTTTTATGTGAAGATATTCCCTTTTTCACCATAGTCCTTACACCGCTCACAAATATCCTTCTGCAGATACTAGAAAAAGACTGTTTCCAAACTGCTCCATCAAAAGAAAATTTCGCCTACCTGAGATGAATGCACACATCATAAAGAAGTTTCTCAGAATTCTTCTGTCTATTTTAAATGTGAAGATATTTCTTTTTTCACCATAGACCTCAAATGGCTCAGAAATATGCCTTTGCAGATTGCAGAAAAAGACTGTTTCTAAACTGCTCAAACAAAATAAAGTTTCAACACTGTTAGATGAATGCGCACATCACAAAGAAGTTTCTCAGAAAGCTCCTGTCTAGTTTCAATGTGAAGATATTTACTATTTCACTATAGGCTTCAAAGGTCCCAAAAATATCCCTTTGCAGATTCTACAAAAATACGGTTTCCACAGTGCTGAATTAAAAGAAACCTTCAACTCTGTCAGATGAATGGAGACATCACAAAGAAGTTCCTCGGAATGCTTCGGTCTACTTTTCATGTGAAGATATTTCCAGTTTCACCGTAGGCCTCAAAGGGCTAAGAAATATCCCTTTCCAGATTCTAAAAGACGACCGTTTCCATACTTTTCAATCAAAAGAAAGGTTAAATTCTCTGAGGTTAATGCCCACGTCAGAATGAAGTTTCTCAGAATTCTTCTGTTTAGTTTTTATGAGAAGATATTTCCTTTTCCACCATTGGCCTCAAAGCACTCCTAATATCCATTTACAGATTTCACAAAAAGAGTGTTTCCAAACAGCTCAATCAAAAGAAAGTGTTTAACTCCTGTGAGGTGAAAGCACACATCTCAATGGAGTTTCTCAGAAAGCTTCTGTCTGGTTTATATGTGAAGAAGATTCCTATTTCACCATAGGCAATAAAGGGCTCGCAAATATTTTTTGCAGATTCTACAAATAGACTGTATCCAAACTGCTCAATAAAAAGAAAGTTTTAACTCTGTTTGATTAATGGACACATCGAAAAGTAGTTTCTCAGAAAACTTCTATCTAGTTTTTATGTGAAGATATTTCATATTTCAAAATAGGTCTCAATGAGCTCAAAAATAAACTCTTGCAGATGCTACAAAAAGAGTGTTTCCAAAAAGCTCAATCAAAATAAAGGTTTAACACTGTAAGATAAATACACACATTACAAAGAAGTCTCTCAGAATTCTTCTGTTTAGTTTTTACGTGAAGATGTTTCGTTTTTCAACATGGGCCTCAAAAGCTCTCCAAATATCCATTTGCAGATTCTAGAAAAAGAGTGTTTCCAAACTCCTCAATCAAAAGAAAGTTTCAATTCTGTGAGATGAAAGCACACATCACAACGAAGTTTCTTAGAAAGCTTCCGTCTAGTTTTTATGGGAAGATGTTTCTCTTTCACCATAAGCCTCAAACGGATCAGAATTCTCCCTTTGCAGTTTGTACAATAAGCCTCTTTCCAATCTGCTCAATCAAAAGAAAGTTTCAACTCTGTGAGGTGAATGCACACATCACAAGGGAGTTTCTCAGAAAGCTCCTGTCTAGTTTTTGTGTGAAGATATTTCGTATTTCACCACAGGCCATAAGGGGCTCACAAATATCCCTTTGCAGGTTCTATACAAAGACTGTTTCCAAACTGCTCAATCAAAAGAAAGTTCAACTCTGTGACGTGAATGGACACATCACAAAAAATTTCTCGGAATAATTCTGTCTAGTTTTATGTGAAGATACTTCCTTTTTCACCAAGGGCCTCAAATATCTCCAAATATCCATTTGCAGATTCTACAGAAAGACTTCCCAAACTGCTCAAACAAAAGAAAGGTTCAACACAGTGAGATGAAGGCACACATCACAAAGAAGTTTCTCAGAAATCTTCTGTCTAGTTTTTATGTGAGGCTATTTCTTGTTCACCATAGGCCTCAAGCAGCTAAGAAATTTCCCTCTGCAGCTTCTACAAAAGACTGGTTCCAAACTGCTCAACTGAAAGAAAGGTTGAATTCTGTGACATGAATTCACACATCACAAAGAGGTTTTTCAGAAATCTTCTGTCTACTTTTTATGTGAAGATATTTCATATTTCAACAAAGGCCATAAAGGGCTCACAGATATCCCTTTGCAGATTCTAAGAAAAGACATTTTCCAAGCTCCTCAATCAAAAGAAAGGTTTCACTCTGTGCGATGAATGGACACATCACAAAGAAGTTTCTCAGAAAGCTACTGTGTCGTTTTTATGTGAAGACGTTTCCTTTTTCACTCTAGGCCTTAAAACTCTCTAAATATACATTCACAGATTCTACAAAAAGACTGATTCCAAACTGCTCAATCAGAAGAAAGGTTCAATTCCGTGTGACAAACGTGCACATCACAAAGAAATTTGTCAGAAAGCTTCTGTCTAGTTTTCATGTGAAGATATTTATTTTTCACCATTGGCCCCAAACGGCTCAGAAATATCCCTTTGCAGTTTGTAGGAAAAGACTGTTTCCAAACTGCTCAATGAAAAGAAATGGTCAACTATTAGAGATGAATGGAAATGTCACAAAGAGTTTTCTCAAAAAGCTTCTGTCTGCATTTTATGTGAAGGTATTTCCTTTGGCACCGTAGGCCTTAAACCACTCACAAACATAACTCCGCTTATACTACCAAGAGACTTTCTCCAAATTGCTAAATCAAAAGAAATGTTCAACTCTGTGAGATGAATACACACATCAAAAAGAAGTTTCTCAAAATGCTTCTGTCTAGTTTTTATGTGAAGATATTTCCTTCTTCACCGTAGGCCGCAAATTGCTCCAAATATCCATTTGCGGATTCTACAGAAAGAATGTTTCAAACTGGTCAATCAACAGAAAGGCTCAACTCTGTGAGACGAAAGCACACATCACAAAGAAGTTTCTCAGAAAGCTTCTGTCTGGTTACTCTGTGAAGATATTTCTTTTTTCACCACAGTCTTTAAGCCACTCAAAAATATCTGTCTGCAGACACTACAAAAAGACTGTTTCCAAACTGGCCCATATAGCATGTTTCAACTATGTGAAATGAATGCACTCATCAAAGAGAAGTTCCTCAGAATTCTTCTGTCTAGTTTTTATCTCAAGATAATTCCTATTTTGCCATAGGAATCAAGGGGCTCACAAATATCCCTTTGCATATCCTACAAAAGTTCTGTTTACAAACCTCTCAATCAAAAGAAACGTTCAACATTGTGAGACGAATGAACACATCACAAAGAAGTTTCTCAGAATGCTTCTGTCTAGATTTTATGTGAAGATATTTCCATTTTCACCTTAGGCCACAAAGCGCTCCAAACATCCCTTTGCAGATGATACGAAAAGACTGTGTCCAAACTGCTCAATCAAAAGAAATTTTCAACTCTGTGAGATGAAAGCACCCATCACAAAAAAGTTTCTCAGAAATCTTCTGTCTAGTTTTTTTGTGAAGATATTTCCTTTTTCAGCGTAGTCCTTACACCGCTCACAAATATCCTTCTGCAGATACTAGAAAAAGACTGTTTCCAAACTGCTCCATCAAAAGAAAATTTCACCTACCTGAGATGAATGCACACATCATAAAGAAGTTTCTCAGAATTCTTCTGTCTAGTTTAAATGTGAAGATATTTCTCTTTCACCGCAGACCTCAAATGGCTCAGAAATATGCCTTTGCAGTTTGCAGAAAAAGACTGTCTCTAAACTGCTCAAATAAAATAAAGTTTCAACACTGTGAGATGAATGCACACATCACAAAGAAGTTTCTCAGAAAGCTCCTGTCTAGTTTCTATGTGAAGATATTTACTATTTCAATATAGGCTTCAAAGGTCTCAAAAATATCCCTTTGCAGATTCTACAAAAATACGGTTTCCACAGTGCTGAATTAAAAGAAACCTTCAACTCTGTCAGATGAACAGAGACATCACAAAGAAGTTCCTCGGAATGCTTCGGTCTACTTTTCATGTGAAGATATTTCCAGTTTCACCGTAGGCCTCAAAGGGCTAAGAAATATCCCTTTCCAGATTCTAAAAGACGACCGTTTCCATACTTCTCAATCCAAAGAAAGGTTAAATTCTCTGAGGTTAATGCCCACGTCAGAATGAAGTTTCTCAGAATTCTTCTGTTTAGTTTTTATGAGAAGATATTTCCTTTTCCACCATTGGCCTCAAAGCACTCCTAATATCCATTTACAGATTTCACAAAAAGAGTGTTTCCAAACAGCTCAATCAAAAGAAAGTGTTTAACTCTGTGAGGTGAAAGCACACATCTCAATGGAGTTTCTCAGAAAGCTTCTGTCTAGTTTATATGTGAAGAAGATTCCTATTTCACCATAGGCAATAAAGGGCTCGCAAATATTTTTTGCAGATTCTACAAAAAGACTGTATCCAAACTGCTCAATAAAAACAAAGTTTTAACTCTGTTTGACTAATGGACACATTGAAAGGTAATTTCTCAGAAAACTTCTGTCTAGTTTTTATGTGAAGATATTTCACATTGCACCATAGTACTCAATGGGCTCAGAAATATCCCTTTGCAGATTCTACAAGAGGACTGTTTCCAAACTACTCAATCCAAAGACAGTTTCAACTATGTGAGATGAATGCACACATCACAAAGAAGTTTCTCAGAGTGCTTCTGTTTAGTTTTTACATGAAGATGTTTCGTTTTTCAACATGGGCCTCAAAAGCTCTCCAAATATCCACTTGCAGATTCTAGAAAAAGAGTGTTTCCAAACTCCTCAGTCAAAAGAAAGTTTCAATTGTGTGAGATGAAAGCACACATCACTCCGAAGTTTCTTAGAAAGCTTCCGTCTAGTTTTTATGGGAAGATGTTTCTCTTTCACCATTAGCCTCAAACGGATCAGAATTCTCCCTTTGCAGATTGTACAATAAGCCTCTTTCCAATCTGCTCAATCAAAAGAAAGTTTCAACTCTGTGAGGTGAATGCACACATCACAAGGGAGTTTCTCAGAAAGCTCCTGTCTAGTTTTTGTGTGAAGATACTTCGTATTTCACCACAGGCCATAAGGGGCTCACAAATATCCCTTTGCAGGTTCTACAAAAAGACTGTTTCCAAACTGCTCAATCAAAAGAAAGGTTCAACTCTGTGACGTGAATGGACACATCACAAAAAATTTCTCGGAATGATTCTGTCTAGTTTTTATTTGCTGATACTCCCTTTTTCACCATAGGCCTCAAACCGCTCATAAATAACCCTTTGCAGATTCTACAAAAAGAGTGTTTCCAAACTACTCAATCACAAGAAAGCTTCAACTCTGTGACATGAATTCACACATCACAAAGAAGTTTTTCAGAAATCTTCTGTCTACTTTTTATGTGAGGCTATTTCTTGTTCACCATAGGCCTCAAGCAGCTAAGAAATTTCCCTCTGCAGCTTCTACAAAAGACTGGTTCCAAACTGCTCAACTGAAAGGAAGGTTGAATTCTGTGACATGAATTCACACATCACAAAGAGGTTTCTCAGAAATCTTCTGTCTACTTTTTATGTGAAGATATTTCATATTTCAACAAAGGCCATAAAGGGCTCACAAATATCCCTTTGCAGATTCTAAGAAATGACATTTTCCAAAATCCTCAATCAAAAGAAAGGTTCCACTCTGTGCGATGAATGGACACATCACAAAGAAGTTTCTCAGAAAGCTACTGTGTCGTTTTTATGTGAAGACCGTTTCCTTTTTCACTCTAGGCCTTAAAACTCTCTAAATATACATTCACAGATTCTACAAAAAGACTGATTCCAAACTGCTCAATCAGAAGAAAGGTTCAATTCCGTGTGACAAACGTGCACATCACAAAGAAATTTGTCAGAAAGCTTCTGTCTAGTTTTCATGTGAAGATATTTATTTTTCACCATTGGCCCCAAACGGCTCAGAAATATCCCTTTGCAGTTTGTAGGAAAAGACTGTTTCCAAACTGCTCAATGAGAAGAAATGGTCAACTATTAGAGATGAATGGAAATGTCACAAAGAGTTTTCTCAAAAAGCTTCTGTCTACATTTTTTGTGAAGGTATTTCCTTTGGCACCGTAGGCCATAAACCACTCACAAACATAACTCCGCTTATACTACCAAGAGACTTTCTCCAAATTGCTAAATCAAAAGAAACGTTCAACTCTGTGAGATGAATACACACATCAAAAAGAAGTTTCTCAAAATGCTTCTGTCTAGTTTTTATGTGAAGATATTTCCTTCTTCACCGTAGGCCGCAAATTGTTCCAGATATCCATTTGCGGATTCTACAAAAAGAATGTTTCCAAACTGGTCAATCAACAGAAAGGCTCAACTCTGTGAGACGAAAGCACACATCACAAAGAAGTTTCTCAGAAAGCTTCTGTCTGGTTACTCTGTGAAGATATTTCTTTTTTCACCACAGTCTTTAAGCCACTCAAAAATATCTGTCTGCAGACACTACAAAAAGACTGTTTCCAAACTGGCCCATATAGCATGTTTCAACTATGTGAAAGGAATGCACTCATCAAAGAGAAGTTTCTTAGAATTCTTCTGTCTAGTTTTTATCTCAAGATTATTCCTATTTTGCCATAAGAATCAAGGGGCTCACAAATATCCCTTTGCGGATTCTACAAAAGTTCTGTTTACAAACCTCTCAATCAAAAGAAACGTTCAACATTGTGAGATGAATGAACACATCACAAAGAAGTTTCTCAGAATGCTTCTGTCTAGATTTTATGTGAGGATATTTCCATTTTCACCTTAGGCCACAAAGCGCTCCAAACATCCCTTTGCAGATGATACGAAAAGACTGTTTCCAAACTGCTCAATCAAAAGAAATTTACAACTCTGTGAGATGAAAGCACCCATCACAAAAAAGTTTCTCAGATATCTTCTGTCTAGTTATTATGTGAAGATATTTTCTTTTTCACCATAGTCTTTAAACCACTCAAAAATATCCTTCTGCAGATACTACAAAAAGACTGTTTCCAAACTGGTCCATCAAAGAATGTTTCAACTCTGTGAGATGAATGGACTCATCACAAAGAAGTTTCTCAGAATTCTTCTGTCTAGTTTAAATGTGAAGATATTTCTCTTTCACCACAGACCTCAAATGGCTCAGAAATATGCCATTGCAGATTGCAGAAAAAGACTGTCTCTAAACTGCTCAAATAAAATAAAGTTTCAACACTGTGAGATGAATGCACACATCACAAAGAAGTTTCTCAGAAAGCTCCTGTCTAGTTTCTATGTGAAGATATTTACTATTTCACTATAGGCTTCAAAGGTCTCAAAAATATCCCTTTGCAGATTCTACAAAAATACGGTTTCCACAGTGCTGAATTAAAAGAAACCTTCAACTCTGTCAGATGAATGGAGACATCACAAAGAAGTTCCTCGGAATGCTTCGGTCTACTTTTCATGTGAAGATATTTCCAGTTTCACCGTAGGCCTCAAAGGGCTAAGAAATATCCCTTTGCAGATTCTAAAAGACGACCGTTTCCATACTTCTCAATCAAAAGAATGGTTAAATTCTCTGAGGTTAATGCCCACGTCAGAATGAAGTTTCTCAGAATTCTTCTCTTTAGTTTTTATGAGAAGATATTTCCTTTTTCACCACTGGCCTCAAAGCACTCCTAATATCCATTTACAGTTTCACAAAAAGAGTGTTTCCAAACAGCTCAATCAAAAGAAAGTGTTTAACTCTGTGAGGTGAAAGCACACATCTCAATGAAGTTTCTCAGAAAGCTTCTGTCTAGTTTATATGTGAAGAAGATTCCTATTTCACCATAGGCAATAAAGGGCTCACAAATATTTTTTGCAGATTCTACAAAAAGACTGTGTCCAAACTGCTCAAAAAAAAGAAAGTTTTAACTCTGTTAGATTAACGGACACATCGAAAAGTAGTTTCTCAGAAAACTTCTGTCTAGTTTTTATGTGAAGATACTTCACATTGCAGCATAGTACTCAATGGGCTCAGAAATATCCCTTGGCAGATTCTACAATAGGACTGTTTCAAAACTGCTCAATCCAAAGAAAGTTTCAACTATGTGAGATGAATGCACACATCACAAAGAAGTTCCTCAGAATGCTTCTGTTTAGTTTTTACGTGAAGATGTTTCGTTTTTCAACATGGGCCTCAGGAGCTCTCCAAATATCCATTTGCAGATTCTAGAAAAAGAGTGTTTCCAAACTCCTCAATCAAAAGAAAGTTTCAATTCCGTGAGATGAAAGCACACATCACACCGAAGTTTCTTAGAAAGCTTCCGTCTAGTTTTTATGGGAAGATATTTCACTTTCACCAGAAGCCTCAAACGGATCAGAATTCTCCCTTTGCAGATTGTACAATAAGCCTCTTTCCAATCTGTTCAATCAAAAGAAAGTTTCAACTCTGTGAGGTGAATGCACACATCACAAGGGAGTTTCTCAGAAAGCTCCTGTCTAGTTTTTATGTGAAGATATTTCGTATTTCACCACAGGCCATAAGGGGCTCACAAATATCCCTTTGCAGGTTCTACAAAAAGACTGTTTCCAAACTGCTCAATCAAAAGAAAGGTTCAACTCTGTGACGTGAATGGACACATCACAAAAAATTTCTTGGAATGATTCTGTCTAGTTTTTATGTGAAGATACTTCCTTTTTCACCAAGGGCCTCAAATATCTCCAAATATCAATTTGCAGATTCTACAGAAAGACTTCCCAAACTGCTCAATCAAAAGAAAGGTTCAACACAGTGAGATGAAGGCACACATCACAAAGAAGTTTCTCAGAAATCTTCTGTCTACTTTTTATGTGAGGCTATTTCTTGTTCACCATAGGCCTCAAGCAGCTAAGAAATTTCCCTCTGCAGCTTCTACAAAAGACTGGTTCCAAACTGCTCAACTGAAAGGAAGGTTGAAATCTGTGACATGAATTCACACATCACAAAGAGGTTTCTCAGAAATCTTCTGTCTAGTTTTTATGTGAAGATATTTCATATTTCAACATAGGCCATAAAGGGCTCACAAATATCCCTTTGTAGATTCTAAGAAAAGACATTTTCCAAACTCCTCAATCAAAAGAAAGGTTTAACTCTGTGAGATGAATGGACACATCACAAAGAAGTTTCTTAGAAAGCTACTGCGTCGTTTTTATGTGAAGACGTTTCCTTTTTCACTCTAGGCCTTAAAACTCTCTAAATATACATTCATAGATTCTACAAAAAGACTGATTCCAAACTGCGCAATCAGAAGAAATGTTCAATTCCGTGTGACAAACGTGCACATCACAAAGAAATTTGTCAGAAAGCTTCTGTCTAGTTTTCATGTGAAGATATTTATTTTTCACCATTGGCCCCAAACGGCTCAGAAATATCCCTTTGCAGTTTGTAGGAAAAGACTGTTTCCAAACTGCTCAATGAGAAGAAATGGTCAACTATTAGAGATGAATGGACATGTCACAAAGAGTTTTCTCAAAAAGCTTCTGTCTACATTTTATGTGAAGGTATTTCCTTTGGCACCGTAGGCCTTAAACCACTCACAAACATAACTCCGCTTATACTACCAAGAGACTTTCTCCAAATTGCTAAATCAAAAGAAACGTTGAACTCTGTGAGATGAATACACACATCAAAAATAAGTTTCTCAAAATGCTTCTGTCTAGTTTTTATGTGAAGATATTTCCTTCTTCACCGTAGGCCACAAATTGCTCCAAATATCCATTTACGGATTCTACAGAAAGAATGTTTCCAAACTGGTCAATCAACAGAAAGGCTCAACTCTGTGAGACGAAAGCACACATCACAAAGAAGTTTCTCAGACAGCTTCTGTCTGGTTGCTATGTGAAGATGTTTCCTTTTTCACCATAGTCTTTAAGCCACTCTAAAATACCTGACTGCAGACTCTGCAAAAAGACTGTTTCCAAACTGGCCCATATAGCATGTTTCAACTATGTGAAATGAATGCACTCATCAAAAAGAAGTTTCTCAGGATTCTTCTGTCTAGTTTTTATCTCAAGATAATTCCTATTTTGCCATAGGAATCAAGGGGCTCACAAATATCCCTTTGCAGATTCTACAAAAGTTGTGTTTACAAACCTCTCAATCAAAAGAAACGTTCAACATTGTGAGATGAATGAACACATCACAAAGAAGTTTCTCAGAATACTTCTGTCTAGTTTTTATGTGAAGATATTTCCATTTTCAACTTAGGCCACAAAGTGCTCCAAATATCCATTTGCAGATTATATGAAAAGACTGTTTCCAAACTGCTCAATCAAAAGAAATTTTCAACTCTGTGAGATGAAAGCACACATCACAAAAAAGTTTCTCAGAAATCTTCTGTCTAGTTTTTATGTGAAGATATTTCCTTTTCCACCATAGGCCTTAAACCGCTCACAAATATCCTTCTGCAGATACTATAAAAAGACTGTTTCCAAACTGCTCCATCAAAAGAAAAGTTCACCTCTCTGAGGTGAATGCACACATCAGAAAGAAGTTTCTCAGAATTCTTCTGTCTAGTTTCAATGTGAAGATATTTCTTTTTCACCATAGACCTCAAATGGCTCAGAAATATACCTTTGCAGATTGCAAAAAAAGACTGTCTCTAAACTGCTCAAATAAAATAAAGTCTCAACACTGTGAGATGAATGCGCACATCACAAAGAAGTTTCTCAGAAAGCTCCTGTCTAGTTTTTATGTGAAGATATTTAGTATTTCACTATAGGCTTCAAATGTCTCAAAAATATCCCTTTGCAGATTCTACAAAAATATGGTTTCCAAAGTGCTGAATTAAAAGAAACTTTCAACTCTGTCAGATGAATGGAGACATCACAAAGAAGTTCCTCAGAATGCTTCGGTCTACTTTTCATGTGAAGATATTTCCAGTTTCACCGGAGGCCTCAAAGGGCTAAGAAATATCCCTTTCCAGATTCTAAAAGACGACCGTTTCCATACTTCTCAATCAAAAGAAAGGTTAAATTCTCTGAGGTTAATGCCCACGTCAGAATGAAGTTTCTCAGAATTCTTCTGTTTAGTTTTTATGTGAAGATATTTCCTTTGTCACCATTGGCCTCAAAGCCCTGCTAATATCCATTTACAGATTTCACAAAAAGAGTGTTTCCAAACAGCTCAATCAAAAGAAAGTGTTTAACTCTGTGAGGTGAAAGCACACATCTCCAAGAAGTTTCTCAGAAAGCTTCTGTCTAGTTTATATGTGAAGAAGATTCCTATTTCACCATAGGCAATAAAGGGCTCGCAAATATTTTTTGCAGATTCTACAAAAAGACTGTATCCAAACTGCTCAATGAAAAGAAAGTTTTAACTCTGTTAGATTAATGGACACATCGAAAGGTAGTTTCTCAGAAATCTTCTGTCTAGTTTTTATGTGAAGATACTTCACAGTGCATCATAGTACTCAATGGGCTCAGAAATATCCCTTGGCAGATTCTACAAAAGGACTGTTTCAAAACTGCTCAATACAAAGAAAGTTTCAACTATGTGAGATGAATGCACACATCACAAAGAAGTTCCTCAGAATGCTTCTGTTTAGTTTTTACGTGAAGATGTTTCGTTTTTCAACATGGGCCTCAGAAGCTCTCCAAATATCCATTTGCAGATTCTAGAAAAAGAGTGTTTCCAAACTCCTCAATGCAAAGAAAGTTTCAATTCCGTGAGATGAAAGCACACATCACAACGAAGTTTCTTAGAAAGCTTCCGTCTAGTTTTTATGGGAATATGTTTCTCTTTCACCATAAGCCTCAAACGGATCAGAATTCTCCCTTTGCAGATTGTACAATAAGACTCTTTCCAATCTGCTCAATCAAAAGAAAGTTTCAACTCTGTGAGGTGAATGCACACATCACAAGAGAGTTTCTCAGAAACCTCCTGTCTAGTTTTTATGTGAAGATATTTCGTATTTCACCACAGGCCATAAGGGGCTCACAAATATCCCTTTGCAGGTTCTACAAAAAGACTGTTTCCAAACTGCTCAATCAAAAGAAAGGTTCAACTCTGTGACGTGAATGGACACATCGCAGAAAATTTCTTGGAATGATTCTGTCTAGTTTTTATGTGAAGATACTTCCTTTTTCACCAAGGGCCTCAAATATCCCCAAATATCCATTTGCAGATTCTACAGAAAGACTTCCCAAACTGCTCAATCAAAAGAAAGGTTCAACACAGTGAGATGAAGGCACACATCACAAAGAAGTTTCTCAGAAATCTTCTGTCTACTTTTTATGTGAGGCTATTTCTTGTTCACCATAGGCCTCGAGCAGCTAAGAAATTTCCCTCTGCAGCTTCTACAAAAGACTGGTTCCAAACTGCTCAACTGAAAGGAAGGTTGAATTCTGTGACATGAATTCACACATCACAAAGAGGTTTTTCAGAAATCTTCTGTCTACTTTTTATGTGAAGATATTTCATATTTCAACAAAGGCCATAAAGGGCTCACGAATATCCCTTTGCAGATTCTAAGAAAAGACATTTTCCAAACTCCTCAATCAAAAGAAAGGTTTCACTCTGTGCAATGAATGGACACATCACAAAGAAGTTTCTCAGAAAGCTACTGTGTAGTTTTTATGTGAAGATATTTCCTTTTTCACTATAGGCCTTAAAACACTCCAAATATACATTTGCAGATTCTACAAAAAGACTGTTTCCAAACTGCTCAATCAAATGAAAGGTTCAACTCTGTGATACAAACGTGCACAACACAGAGGAGTTTCTCAGAAAGCTTCTGTCTAGTTTTCATGTGAAGATATTTATTTTTCACCATTGGCCCCAAACGGCTCAGAAATATCCCTTTGCAGTTTGTAGGAAAAGACTGTTTCCAAACTGCTCAATGAAAAGAAATGGTCAACTATTAGCGATGAATGGAAATGTCACAAAGAGTTTTCTCAAAAAGCTTCTGTCTACATTTTATGTGAAGGTATTTCCTTTGGCACCGTAGGCCTTAAACCACTCACAAACATAACTCCGCTTATACTACCAAGAGACTTTCTCCAAATTGCTAAATCAAAAGAAACGTTCAACTCTGTGAGATGAATACACACATCAAAAAGAAGTTTCTCAAAATGCTTCTGTCTAGTTTTTATGTGAAGATATTTCCTTCTTCACAGTAGGCCGCAAATTGCTCCAAATATCCATTTGCGGATTCTACAGAAAGAATGTTTCCAAACTGGTCAATCAACAGAAAGGCTCAACTCTGTGAGACGAAAGCACACATCACAAAGGAGTTTCTCAGAAAGCTTCTGTCTGGTTACTCTGTGAAGATATTTCTTTTTTCACCACAGGCTTTAAGCCACTCAAAAATATCTGTCTGCAGACACTACAAAAAGACTGTTTCCAAACTGGCCCATATAGCATGTTACAACTATGTGAATTGAATGCACTCATCAAAGAGAAGTTTCTCCGAATTCTTCTGCCTTTTTTTTATTTCAAGATAATTCCTATTTCACCATAGGAATCAATGGGCTCACAAATATCCCTTTGCAGATTCTACAAAAGTTCTGTTTCCAAACTGCTCAATCAAAAGAAACGTTCAACATTGTAAGATGAATGCACACATCACAAAGAAGTTTCTCAGAATGCTTCTGTCTAGTTTTTATGTGAAGATGTTTCCATTTTCACCTTAGGCCACAAAGCGCTCCAAACATCCGTTTGCAGATGATACGAAAGGACTGTTTCCAAACTGCTCAATCAAAAGAAATTTTCAACTCTGTGAGATGAGAGCACACATCACAAAAAAGTTTCTCAGAAATCTTCTGTCTAGTTTTTATGTGAAGATATTTCCTTTTTCAGCATAGTCCTCACACCGCTCACAAATATCCTTCTGCAGATACTAGAAAAAGACTGTTTCCAAACTGCTCCATCAAAAGAAAATTTCACCTACCTGAGATGAATGCACACATCATAAAGAAGTTTCTCAGAATCCTTCTGTCTAGTTTAAATGTGAAGATATTTCTCTTTCACCACAGACCTCAAATGGCTCAGAAATATGCCTTTGCAGATTGCAGAAAAAGACTGTCTCCAAACTGCTCAAATAAAATAAAGTTTCAACACTGTGAGATGAATGCACACATCACAAAGAAGTTTCTCAGAAAGCTCCTGTCTAGTTTTTATGTGAAGATATTTACTATTTCACTATAGGCTTCAAATGTCTCAAAAATATCCCTTTGCAGATTCTACAAAAATATGGTTTCCAAAGTGCTGAATTAAAAGAAACCTTCAACTCTGTCAGATGAATGGAGACATCACAAAGAAGTTCCTCAGAATTCTTCGGTCTACTTTTCCTGTGAAGATATTTCCAGTTTCACCGTAGGCCTCAAAGGGCTAAGAAATATCCCTTTCCAGATTCTAAAAGACGACCGTTTCCATACTTGTCAATCAAAAGAAAGGTTAAATTCTCTGAGGTTAATGCGCACATCAGAATGAAGTTTCTCAGAATTCTTCTGTTTAGTTTTTATGAGAAGATATTTCCTTTGTCACCATTGGCCTCAAAGCACTCCTAATATCCATTTACAGATTTCACAAAAAGAGTGTTTCCAAACAGCTCAATCAAAAGAAAGTGTTTAACTCTGTGAGGTGAAAGCACACATCTCAATGAAGTTTCTCAGAAAGCTTCTGTCTAGTTTATATGTGAAGAAGATTCCTATTTCACCATAGGCAATAAAGGGCTCACAAATATGTTTTGCAGATTCTACAAAAAGACTGTGTCCAAACTGCTCAATAAAAAGAAAGTTTTAACTCTGTTAGATTAACGGACACATCGAAAAGTAGTTTCTCAGAAAACTTCTGTCTAGTTTTTATGTGAAGATACTTCACAGTGCATCATAGTACTCAATGGGCTCAGAAATATCCCTTGGCAGATTCTACAAAAGGACTGTTTCAAAACTGCTCAATCCAAAGAAAGTTTCAACTATGTGTGATGAATGCACACATCACAAAGAAGTTCCTCAGAATGCTTCTGTTTAGTTTTTACGTGTAGATGTTTCGTTTTTCAACATGGGCCTCAGAAGCTCTCCAAATATCCATTTGCAGATTCTAGAAAAAGAGTGTTTCCAAACTCCTCAATCAAAAGAAAGTTTCAATTCCGTGAGATGAAAACACACATCACACCGAAGTTTCTTAGAAAGCTTCCGTCTAGTTTTTATGGGAATATGTTTCTCTTTCACCATAAGCCTCAAACGCATCAGAATTCTCCCTTTGCAGATTGTACAATAAGCCTCTTTCCAATCTGCTCAATCAAAAGAAAGTTTCAACTCTGTGAGGTGAATGCACACATCACAAGGGAGTTTCTCAGAAAGCTCCTGTCTAGTTTTTATGTGAAGATATTTCGTATTTCACCACAGGCCATAAGGCGCTCACAAAAATCCCTTTGCAGGTTCTACAAAAAGAGTGTTTCCAAACTGCTCAATCAAAAGAAAGGTTCAACTCTGTGACGTGAATGGACACATCACAAACAATTTCTTGGAATGATTCTGTCTAGTTTTTATGTGAAGATACTTGCTTTTTCACCAAGGGCCTCAAATATCTCCAAATATCCATTTGCAGATTCTACACAAAGACTTCCCAAACTGCTCAATCAAAAGAAAGGTTCAACACAGGGAGATGAAGACACACATCACAAAGAAGTTTCTCAGAAATCTTCTGTCTGGTTTTTATGTGAAGTTATTTCTTTTTCACCATAGGCCTGAATCAGCTAAGAAATTTCCCTTTGCACCTTCTACAAAAGACTGTTTCCAAACTGCTCAATCGAAAGAAAGGTTGAATTCTGTGACATGAATTCACACATCACAAAGAAGTTTCTCAGAAATCTTCTGTCTATTTTTTATGTGAAGATATTTCATATTTCAACATAGGCCATAAAGGGCTCACAAATATCCCTTTGTAGATTCTAAGAAAAGACATTTTCCAAACTCCTCAATCAAAAGAAAGGTTTAACTCTGTGAGGTGAATGGACACATCACAAAGAAGTTTCTTAGAAAGCTACTGTGTCGTTTTTATGTGAAGACGTTTCCATTTTCACTCTAGGCCTTAAAACTCTCTAAATATGCATTCACAGATTCTACAAAAAGACTGATTCCAAACTGCTCAATCAGAAGAAAGGTTCAGTTCCGTGTGACAAACGTGCACATCAGAAAGAAATTTGTCAGAAACCTTCTGTCTAGTTTTCATGTGAAGATATTTATTTTTCACCATTGGCCCCAAACGGCTCAGAAATGTCCCTTTGCAGTTTGTAGGAAAAGACTGTTTCCAAACTGCTCAATGAGAAGAAATGGTCAACTATTAGAGATGAATGGAAATGTCACAAAGAGTTTTCTCAAAAACCTTCTGTCTGCATTTTATGTGAAGGTATTTCCTTTGGCACCGTAGGCCTTAAACCACTCACAAACATAACTCCGCTTATACTACCAAGAGACTTTCTCCAAATTGCTAAATCAAAAGAAACGTTCAACTCTGTGAGATGAATACACACATCAAAAAGAAGTTTCTCAAAATGCTTCTGTCTAGTTTTTATGTGAAGATATTTCCTTCTTCACCGTAGGCCGCAAATTGCTCCAAATATCCATTTGCGGATTCTACAGAAAGAATGTTTCCAAACTGGTCAATCAACAGAAAGGCTCAACTCTGTGAGACGAAAGCACACATCACAAAGTAGTTTCTCAGAAAGCTTCTGTCTGGTTACTCTGTGAAGATATTTCTTTTTTCACCACAGTCTTTAAGCCACTCAAAAATATCTGTCTGCAGACACTACAAAAAGACTGTTTCCAAACTGGCCCATATAGCATGTTTCAACTATGTGAAATGAATGCACTCATCAAAGAGAAGTTTCTCCGAATTCTTCTGTCTAGTTTTTATCTCAAGAGAATTCCTATTTTGCCATAGGAATCAAGGGGCTCACAAATATCCCTTTGCAGATTCTACAAAAGTTCTGTTTACAAACCTCTCAATCAAAAGAAACGTTCAACATTGTGAGATGAATGAACACATCACAAAGAAGTTTCTCAGAATGCTTCTGTCTAGATTTTATGTGAAGATATTTCCATTTTCACCTTAGGCCACAAAGCGCTCCACACATCCCTTTGCAGATGATACGAAAAGACTGTTTCCAAACTGCTCAATCAAAAGAAATTTTCAACTCTGTGAGATGAAAGCACCCATCACAAAAAAGTTTCTCAGAAATCTTCTGTCTAGTTTTTATGTGAAGATATTTCCTTTTTCACCACAGGCCTTAAACTGCTCACAAATATCCTTCTGCAGATACTATAAAAAGACTGTTTCCAAACTGCTCCATCAAAAGAAAAGTTCACCTCTCTGAGGTGAATGCACACATCACAAAGAATTTTCTCAGACTTCTTCTGTCTAGTTTAAATGTGAAGATATTTCTCTTTCACCACAGACCTCAAATGGCTCAGAAATATGCCTTTGCAGATTGCAGAAATAGACTGTCTCTAAACTGCTCAAATAAAATAAAGTTTCAACACTGTGAGATGAATGCACACATCACAAAGAAGTTGCTCAGAAAGCTTCTGTCTAGTTTTTATGTGAAGATATTTACTATTTCACTATAGGCTTCAAATGTCTCACAAATATCCCTTTGCAGATTCTACAAAAATATGGTTGCCGAACTTCTGAATTAAAAGAAGCATTCAACTCTGTCAAATGAATGGAGACATCACAAAGAGGTTCCTCAGAATGCTTCGGTCTACTTTTCATGTGAAGATATTTCCAGTTTCACCGTAGGCCTCAAAGGGCTAAGAAATATCCCTTTCCAGATTCTAAAAGACGACCGTTTCCATACTTCTCAATCAAAAGAAAGGTTACATTCTGTGAGGTTAATGCACACATCAGAATGAAGTTTCTCAGAATTCTTCTGTTTAGTTTTTATGTGAAGATATTTCCTTTGTCACAATTGGCCTCAAAGCACTCCTAATATCCATTTACAGATTTCACAAAAAGAGTGTTTCCAAACAGCTCAATCAAAAGAAAGTGTTTAACTCTGTGAGGTGAAAGCACACATCTCAAAGAAGTTTCTCAGTAAGCTTCTGTCTAGTTTATATGTGAAGAAGATTCCTATTTCACCATAGGCAATAAAGGGCTCGCAAATATTTTTTGCAGATTCTACAAAAAGACTGTATCCAAACTGCTCAATAAAAAGAAAGTTTTAACTCTGTTTGATTAATGGACACATCGAAAAGTAGTTTTTCAGAAAACTTCTGTCTAGTTTTTATGTGAAGATACTTCACAGTGCATCATAGTACTCAATGGGCTCAGAAATATCCCTTGGCAGATTCTACAAAAGGAGTGTTTCAAAACTGCTCAATTCAAAGAAAGTTTCAACTATGTGAGATGAATGCACACATCACAAAGAAGTTCCTCAGAATGCTTCTGTTTAGTTTTTATGTGAAGATATTTCGTTTTTCACCATGGGCCTCAAAAGCTCTCCAAATATCCATTTGCAGATTCTAGAAAAAGAGTGTTTCCAAACTCCTCAATCAAAAGAAAGTTTCAATTCTGTGAGATGAAAGCACACATCACAAAGAAGTTTCTTAGAAAGCTTCCGTCTAGTTTTTATGGGAAGATGTTTCTCTTTCACCATAAGCCTCAAACGGATCAGAATTCTCCCTTTGCAGTTTGTACAATAAGCCTCTTTCCAATCTGCTCAATCAAAAGAAAGTTTCAACTCTCTGAGGTGAATGCACACATCACAAGGGAGTTTCTCAGAAAGCTCCTGTCTAGTTTTTATGTGAAGATATTTCGTATTTCACCACAGGCCATAAGGGGCTCACAAATATCCCTTTGCAGGTTCTACAAAAAGACTGTTTCCAAACTGCTCAATCAAAAGAAAGGTTCAACTCTGTGACGTGAATGGACACATCACAGAAAATTTCTTGGAATGATTCTGTCTAGTTTTTGTGGGAAGATACTTCCTTTTTCACCAAGGGCCTCAAATATCTCCAAATATCCATTTGCAGATTCTACAGAAAGACTTCCCAAACTGCTCAATCAAAAGAAAGGTTCAACACAGTGAGATGAAGGCACACATCACAAAGAAGTTTCTCAGAAATCTTCTGTCTAGTTTTTATGTGAGGCTATTTCTTGTTCACCATAGGCCTCAAGCAGCTAAGAAATTTCCTCTGCAGCTTCTACAAAAGACTGGTTCCAAACTGCTCAACTGAAAGGAAGGTTGAATTCTGTGACATGAATTCACACATCACAAAGAGGTTTTTCAGAAATCTTCTGTCTACTTTTTATGTGAAGATATTTCATATTTCAACAAAGGCCATAAAGGGCTCACAAATATCCCTTTGCAGATTCTAAGAAAAGACATTTTCCAAACTCCTCAATCAAAAGAAAGGTTCCACTCTGTGCGATGAATGGACACATCACAAAGAAGTTTCTCAGAAAGCTACTGTGTCGTTTTTATGTGAAGACGTTTCCATTTTCACTCTAGGCCTTAAAACTCTCTAAATATGCATTCACAGATTCTACAAAAAGACTGATTCCAAACTGCTCAATCAGAAGAAAGGTTCAATTCCGTGTGACAAACGTGCACATCACAAAGAAATTTGTCAGAAACCTTATGTCTAGTTTTCATGTGAAGATGGTTATTTTTCACCATTGGCCCCAAACGGCTCAGAAATATCCCTTTGCAGTTTGTAGGAAAAGACTGTTTCCAAACTGCTCAATGAAAAGAAATGGTCAACTATTAGAGATGAATGGAAATGTCACAAAGA
This sequence comes from Homo sapiens, assembly GCF_000001405.40. NCBI lineage: Eukaryota > Metazoa > Chordata > Mammalia > Primates > Hominidae > Homo > Homo sapiens. The sequence goes on along the minus strand of NC_000013.11, from coordinate 16,179,910 downwards.
GTTTTCTCAAAAAGCTTCTGTCTACATTTTATGTGAAGGTATTTCCTTTGGCACCGTAGGCCTTAAACCACTCACAAACATAACTCCGCTTATACTACCAAGAGACTTTCTCCAAATTGCTAAATCAAAAGAAACGTTCAACTCTGTGAGAAGAATACACACATCAAAAAGAAGTTTCTCAAAATGCTCCTGTCTAGTTTTTCTGTGAAGATATTTCCTTTTTCACCGTAGGCCACAAATTGCTCCAAATATCCATTTGCAGATTCTACAAAAAGAATGTTCCCAAACTGGTCAATCAAAAGAAAGGCGCAACTCTGTGAGACGAAAGCACACATCACAAAGAAGTTTCTCGGAAAGCCTCTGTCTGGTTACTCTGTGAAGATATTTCTTTTTTCACCACAGTCTTTAAGCCACTCAAAAATATCTGTCTGCAGACACTACAAAAAGTCTGTTTTCAAACTGGCCCATATAGCATGTTTCAACTATGTGAAATGAATGCACTCATCAAAGAGAAGTTTCTCCGAATTCTTCTGTCTAGTTTTTATCTCAAGATAATTCCTATTTTGCCATAGGAATCAATGGGCTCACAAATATCCCTTTGCAGATTCTACAAAAGTTCTGTTTCCAAACTGCTCAATCAAAAGAAACGTTCAACATTGTGAGATGAATGCACACATCACAAAGAAGTTTCTCGGAATGCTTCTGTCTAGATTTTATGTGAAGATATTTCCATTTTCACCTTAGGCCACAAAGCGCTCCAAACATCCCTTTGCAGATGATACGAAAAGACTGTTTCCAAACTGCTCAATCAAAAGAAATTTTCAACTCTGTGAGATGAAAGCACTCATCACAAAAAAGTTTCTCAGAAATCTCCTGTCTAGTTTTTATGTGAAGATATTTCCTTTTTCACCATAGGCCTTAAACTGCTCACAAATATCCTTCTGCAGATACTAAAAAAATACTGTTTCCAAACTGCTCCATCAAAAGAAAAGTTCACCTCTCTGAGATGAATGCACACATCACAAAGAAGTTTCTCAGAATTCTTCTGTCTAGTTTAAATGTGAAGATATTTCTTTTTCACATAGACCTCAAATGGCTCAGAAATACACCTTTGCAGAATGCAGGAAAAGACTGTTTCTAAACTGCTCAAACAAAATAAAGTTTCAACACTGTGAGATGAATGCACACATCACAAAGAAGTTTCTCAGAAATCTCCTGTCTAGTTTCTATGTGAAGATATTTACTATTTCACTATAGGCTTCAAAGGTCTCAAAAATATCCCTTTGCAGATTCTACAAAAATACGGTTTCCACAGTGCTGAATTAAAAGAAACCTTCAACTCTGTCAGATGAATGGAGACATCACAAAGAAGTTACTCAGTATTCTTCGGTCTACTTTTCATGTGAAGATATTTCCAGTTTCACCGTAGGCCTCAAAGGGCTAAGAAATATCCCTTTCCAGATTCTAAAAGACGACCGTTTCCATACTTCTCAATCAAAAGAAAGGTTAAATTCTCTGAGTTTAATGCCCACGTCAGAATGAAGTTTCTCAGAATTCTTCTGTTTAGTTTTTATGTGAAGATATTTCCTTTGTCACCATTGGCCTCGAAGCACTCCTAATATCCATTTACAGATTTCACAAAAAGAGTGTTTCCAAACAGCTCAATCAAAAGAAAGTGTTTAACTCTGTGAGGTGAAAGCACACATCTCCAAGAAGTTTCTCAGAAAGCTTCTGTCTAGTTTATATGTGAAGAAAATTCCTACTTCACCATAGGCAATAAAGGGCTCACAAATATTTTTTGCAGATTCTACAAAAAGACCGTATCCAAACTGCTCAATAAAAAGAAAGTTTCAACTCTGTTAGATTAATGGACACATAAAAGAGTAGTTTCTCAGAAAACTTCTGTCTAGTTTTTATGTGAAGATATTTCACATTTCTCCATAGTACTCAATGGACTCAGAAATATCCCTTTGCAGATTCTACAAAAAGACTGTTTCCAAACTGCTCAATCCAAAGAAAGTTTCAACTCTGTGAGATTAATGCACACATCACAAAGAAGTTTCTCAGAATGCTTCTGTTTAGTTTTTACGTGAAGATGTTTCGTTTTTCAACATGGGCCTCAAAAGCTCTCCAATTATCCATTTGCAGATTCTAGAAAAAGAGGGTTTCCAAACTCCTCAATCAAAAGAAAGTTTCAATTCTGTGAGATGAAAGCACACATCACAACGAAGTTTCTTAGAAAGCTTCCGTCTAGATTTTGTGGGAAGATGTTTCTCTTTCACCAGAAGCCTCAAACGGATCAGAATTCTCCCTTTGCAGATTGTACAATAAGCCTCTTTCCAATCTGCTCATTCAAAAGAAAGTTTCAACTCTGTCAGGTGAATGCACACATCACAAGGGAGTTTCTCAGAAAGCTCCTGTCTAGTTTTTATGTGAATATATTTCGTATTTCACCACAGGCCATAAGGGGCTCACAAATATCCCTTTGCAGGTTCTACAAAAAGACTGTTTCCAAACTGCTCAATCAAAAGAAAGGTTCAACTCTGTGACGTGAATGGACACATCACAAAAAATTTCTCGGAATGATTCTGTCTAGTTTTTATGTGAAGATACTTCCTTTTTCACCATGGGCCTCAAATAGCTCCAAATATCCATTTGCAGATTCTACAAAAAGACTTTCCAAACTGCTCAATCAAAAGAAAGGTTCAACACTGTGAGACGAAAGCAAACATCACAAAGAAGTTTCTCAGAAATCTTCTGTCTACTTTTTATGTGAGGCTATTTCTTGTTCACCATAGGCCTCAAGCAGCTAAGAAATTTCCCTCTGCAGGTTCTACAAAAGACTGGTGCCAAACTGCTCAACTGAAAGGAAGGTTGAATTCTGTGACATGAATTCACACATCACAAAGAGGTTTTTCAGAAATCTTCTGTCTAGTTTTTATGTGAAGATATTTCATATTTCAACATAGGCCATAAAGGGCTCACAAATATCCCTTTGCAGATTCTAAGAAAAGACATTTCCCAAACTCCTTGATCAAAAGAAAGGTTTATCTCTGTGAGATGAATGGACACATCACAAGGAAGTTTCTTAGAAAGCTACTGTGTCGTTTTTATGTGAAGACGTTTCCTTTTTCACTCTAGGCCTTAAAACTCTCTAAATATACATTCACAGATTCTACAAAAAGACTGATTCCAAACTGCTCAATCAGAAGAAAGGTTCAACTCCGTGTGACAAACGGTGCACATCACAAAGAAATTTGTCAGAAAGCTTCTGTCTAGTTTTCATGTGAAGATATTTATTTTTCACCATTGGCCCCAAACGACTCAGAAATATCCCTTTGCAGTTTGTAGGAAAAGACTGTTTCCAAACTGCTCAATGAAAAGAAATGGTCAACTATTAGAGATGAATGGAAATGTCACAAAGAGTTTCCTCAAAAAGCTTCTGTCTACTTTTTATGTGAAGGTGTTTCCTTTTGCACCATAGGCCTTAAATCGCTCACAAATATAACTCCACTTGTACTACCAAGAGACTTTCTCCAAATTGCTAAATCCAAAGAAAGGTTCAACTCTGTGAGAAGAATGCACACATCACAAAGAAGTTTCTCAAAATGCTTCTGTCTAGTTTTTATGTGAAGATATTTCCTTTTTCACCATAGGTCTCAAATTGTTCCAAATATCCATTTGCAGATTCTACAAAAAGAATGTTTCCAAACTGGTCAATCAAAAGAAAGGCTCAAATCTGTGAGACAAAAACACACATTACAAAGTTTCTCAGAAAGCTTCTGTCTAGTTTCAATGTGAAGATATTTCTTTTTCACCATAGACCTCAAATGGCTCAGAAATATACCTTTGCAGATTGCAGTAAAAGACTGTTTCTAAACTGCTCAAACAAAATAAAGTTTCAACACTGTGTGATGAATGCACACATCACAAAGAAGTTTCTCAGAAAGCTTCTGTCTAGTTTTTATCTCAAGATTATTCCTATTTTGCCATAGGAATCAAGGGGCTCACAAATATCCCTTTGCGGATTCTACAAAAGTTCTGTTTACAAACCTCTCAATCAAAAGAAACCTTCAACATTGTGAGATGAATGAACACATCACAAAGAAGTTTCTCAGAATGCTTCTGTCTAGATTTTATGTGAAGATATTTCCATTTTCACCTTAGGCCACAGAGCGCTCCACACATCCCTTTGCAGATGATACGAAAAGACTGTTTCCAAACTGCTCAATCAAAAGAAATTTTCAACTCTGTGAGATGAAAGCAACCATCACAAAAAAGTTTCTCAGAAATCTTCTGTCTAGTTTTTATGTGAAGATATTTCCTTTTTCACCATAGTCCTTACACCGCTCACAAATATCCTTCTGCAGATACTAGAAAAAGACTGTTTCCAAACTGCTCCATCAAAAGAAAATTTCGCCTACCTGAGATGAATGCACACATCATAAAGAAGTTTCTCAGAATTCTTCTGTCTAGTTAAAATGTGAAGATATCTCTTTTTCACCATAGACCTCAAATGTCTCAGAAATATACCTTTGCAGATTGCAGAAAAAGACTGTTTCTGAACTGCTCAAACAAAATAAAGTTTCAACACTGTGAGATGAATGCACCACATCACAAAGAAGTTTCTCAGAAAGCTCCTGTCTAGTTTTTATGTGAAGATATTTACTATTTCACTATAGGCTTCAAATGTCTCAAAAATATCCCTTTGCAGATTCTACAAAAATATGGTTTCCAAAGTGCTGAATTAAAAGAAACTTTCAACTCTGTCAGATGAATGGAGACCTCACAAAGAAGTTCCTCAGAATGCTTCGGTCTACTTTTCATGTGAAGATATTTCCAGTTTCACCATATGCCTCAAAGGGCTAAGAAATATCCCTTTCCAGATTCTAAAAGACGACCGTTTCCATATTTCTCAATCAAAAGAAAGTTAAATTCTCTGAGGTTAATGCCCACGTCAGAATGAAAGTTTTCAGAATTCTTCTGTTTAGTTTTTACGTGAAGATATTTCCTTTGTCACAATTGGCCTCAAAGCCCTCCTAATATCCATTTACAGATTTCACAAAAAGAGTGTTTCCAAACAGCTCAATCAAAAGAAAGTGTTTAACTCTGTGAGGTGAAAGCACACATCTCAAAGAAGTTTCTCAGAAAGCTTCTGTCTAGTTTATATGTGAAGAAAATTCCTACTTCACCATAGGCAATAAAGGGCTCACAAATATTTTTTGCAGATTCTACAAAAAGACCGTATCCAAACTGCTCAATAAAAAGAAAGTTTCAACTCTGTTAGATTAATGGACACATCAAAGAGTAGTTTCTCAGGAAACTTCTGTCTAGTTTTTATGTGAAGATACTTCACAGTGCATCATAGTGCTCAATGGGCTCAGAAATATCCCTTGGCAGATTCTACAAAAGGACTGTTTCAAAACTGCTCAATCCAAAGAAAGTTTCAACTATGTGAGATGAATGCACACATCACAAAGAAGTTCCTCAGAATGCTTCTGTTTAGTTTTTACGTGAAGATATTTCGTTTTTCACCACGGGCCTCAAAAGCTCTCCAAATATCCATTTGCATATTCTAGAAAAAGAGTGTTTCCAAACTCCTCAATCAAAGGATAGTTTCAATTCTGTGAGACGAAAGCACACATCACAACGAAGTTTCTTAGAAAGCGTTCCGTCTAGTTTTTATGGGAAGTATGTTTCTCTTTCACCATTAGCCTCAAACGGATCAGAATTCTCCCTTTGCAGATTGTACAATAAGCCTCTTTCCAATCTGCTCAATCAAAAGAAAGTTTCAACTCTGTGAGGTGAATGCACACATCACAAGGGAGTTTCTCAGAAAGCTCCTGTCTAGTTTTTATGTGAAGATATTTCATATTTCACCACAGGCCATAAGGGGCTCACAAATATCTGTTTGCAGGTTCTACACAAAGACTGTTTCTAAACTGCTCAATCAAAGGAAAGGTTCAACTCTGTGACGTGAATGGACACATCACAAAAAATTTCTCGGAATGATTCTGTCTAGTTTTTATGTGAAGATACTTCCTTTATCACCAAGGGCCTCAAATATCTCCAAATATCCATTTGCAGATTCTACAGAAAGACTTCCCAAACTGCTCAATCAAAAGAAAGGTTCAACACAGTGAGATGAAGGCACACATCACAAAGAAGTTTCTCAGAAATCTTCTGTCTAGTTTTTATGTGAAGATATTTCTTTTTCACTATAGGCCTCAAACGGCTAAGAAATTTCCCTTTGCAGCTTCTACAAAAGACTGTTTCCAAACTGCTCAATCGAAAGAAAGGTTGAATTCTGTGACATGAATTCACACATCACAAAGAAGTTTTTCAGAAATCTTCTGTCTAGTTTTTATGTGAAGATATTTCATATTTCAACATAGGCCATAAAGGGCTCACAAATATCCCTTTGCAGATTCTAAGAGAAGACATTTTCCAAACTCCTCAATCAAAAGAAAGGTTTAACTCTGTGAGATGAATGGACACATCACAAAGAAGTTTCTTAGAAAGCTACTGTGTCGTTTTTATGTGAAGACGTTTCCTTTTTCACTCTAGGCCTTAAAACTCTCTAAATATACATTCACAGATTCTACAAAAAGACGGATTCCAAACTGCTCAATCAGAAGAAAGGTTCAATTCCGTGTGACAAACGTGCACATCACAAAGAAATTTGTCAGAAAGCTTCTGTCTAGTTTTCATGTGAAGATATTTATTTTTCACCATTGACCCCAAACGGCTCAGAAATATCCCTTTGCAGTTTGTAGGAAAAGACTGTTTCCAAACTGCTCAATGAAAAGAAATGGTCAACTATTAGAGATGAATGGAAATGTCACAAAGAGTTTTCTCAAAAAGCTTCTGTCTACATTTTATGTGAAGGTATTTCCTTTGGCACCGTAGGCCTTAAACCACTCACAAACATAACTCTGCTTATACTACCAAGAGACTTTCTCCAAATTGCAAAATCAAAAGAAACGTTCAACTCTGTGAGATGAATACACACATCAAAAAGAAGTTTCTCAAAATGCTTCTGTCTAGTTTTTATGTGAAGATATTTCCTTCTTCACCATAGGCCGCAAATTGCTCCAAATATCCATTTGCGGATTCTACAGAAATAATGTTTCCAAACTGGTCAATCAACAGAAAGGCTCAACTCTGTGAGACGAAAGCACACATCACAAAGAAGTTTCTCAGAAAGCTTCTGTCTGGTTATTCTGTTAAGATATTTCTTTTTTCACCACAGTCTTTAAGCCACTCAAAAATATCTGTCTGCAGACACTACAAAAAGACTGTTTCCAAACTGGCCCATATAGCATGTTTCAACTATGTGAAATGAATGCACTCATCAAAGAGAAGTTTCTAAGAATTCTCCTGTCTAGTTTTTATCTCAAGATAATTACTATTTTGCCATAGGAATCAAGGGGCTCACAAATATCCCTTTGCAGATTCTACAAAAGTTCTGTTTACAAACCTCTCAATCAAAAGAAACGTTCAACATTGTGAGATGAATGAACACATCACAAAGAAGTTTCTCAGAATGCTTCTGTCTAGATTTTATGTGAAGATATTTGCATTTTCACCTCAGGCCACAAAGCGCTCCAAACATCCCTTTGCAGATGATACGAAAAGACTGTTTCCAAACTGCTCAATCAAAAGAAATTTTCAACTCTGTGAGATGAAAGCACACATCACAGAAAAGTTTCTCAGAAATCTTCTGTCTAGTTATTATGTGAAGATATTTCCTTTTTCACCATAGTCTTTAAACCGCTCAAAAATATCCCTCTGCAGATACTATAAAAAGACTGTTTCCAAACTGGTCCATCAAAGAATGTTTCAACTCTGTGAGATGAATAGACTCATCACAAAGAAGTTTCTCAGAATTCTTCTGTCTAGTTTAAATGTGAAGATATTTCTCTTTCACCACAGACCTCAAATGGCTCAGAAATATGCCTTTGCAGATTGCAGAAAAAGACTGTCTCTAAACTGCTCAAATAAAATAAAGTTTCAACACTGTGAGATGAATGCACACATCACAAAGAAGTTTCTCAGAGAGCTCCTGTCTAGTTTTTATGTGACAATATTTACTATGTCACTATAAGCTTCAAATGTCTCAAAAATATCCCTTTGCAGATTCTACAAAAATATGGTTTCAAAAGTGTGAATTAAAAGAAACCTTCAACTCTGTCAGATGAATGAAGACATCACAAAGAAGTTCCTCAGAATGCTTTGGTCTAGTTTTCATGTAAAGATATTTCCAGTTTCACCGTAGGCCTCAAAGGGCTAAGAAATATCCCTTTCCAGATTCTAAAAGACAACCATTTCCATACTGCTCAATCAAAAGAAAGCTTAAATTCTGTGAGGTGAATGCACACATCAGAATGAAGTTTCTCAGAATTCTTCTCTTTAGTTTTTATGAGAAGATATTTCCTTTGCCACCATTGGCCTCAAAGCACTCCTAATATCCATTTACAGATTTCACGAAAAGAGTGTTTCCAAACAGCTCAATCAAAAGAAAGTGTTTAACTCTGTGAGGTGAAAGCACACATCTCAATGAAGTTTCTCAGAAAGCTTCTGTCCAGTTTATATGTGAAGAAGATTCCTATTTCACCATAGGCAATAAAGGGCTCGCAAATATTTTTTGCAGATTCTACAGAAAGACTGTATCCAAACTGCTCAATAAAAAGAAAGTTTTAACTCTGTTTGATTAATGGACACATCGAAAAGTAGTTTCTCAGAAAACTTCTGTCTAGTTTTTATGTGAAGATATTTCACATTGCACCATAGTACTCAATGGGCTCAGAAATATCCCTTTGCAGATTCTACAAGAGGACTGTTTCCAAACTGCTCAATCCAAAGACAGTTTCAACTATGTGAGATGAATGCATACATCACAAAGAAGTTTCTCAGACTGCTTCTGTTTCGTTTTTACGTGAAGATGTTTCGTTTTTCAACATGGGCCTCAAAAGCTCTCCAAATATCCATTTGCAGATTCTAGAAAAAGAGTGTTTCCAAACTCCTCAATCAAAAGAAAGTTTCAATTCTGTGAGATGAAAGCACACATCACACCGAAGTTTCTTAGAAAGCTTCCGTCTAGTTTTTATGGGAAGATGTTTCTCTTTCACCAGAAGCCTCAAAAGGATCAGAATTCTCCCTTTGCAGATTGTACAATAAGCCTCTTTCCAATCTGCTCAATCAAAAGAAAGTTTCAACTCTGTGAGGTGAATGCACACATCACAAGGGAGTTTCTCAGAAAGCTCCTGTCTAGTTTTTATGTGAAGATATTTCGTATTTCACCACAGGCCATAAGGGGCTCACAAATATCCCTTTGCAGGTTCCACAAAAAGTCTGTTGCCAAACTGCTCAATCAAAAGAAAGGTTCAACTCTGTGACGTGAATGGACACATCACAAACAATTTCTTGGAATGATTCTGTCAGGTTTTTATGTGCAGATATTTCGTTTTCACCATAAGCCTCAAATGGCTCAGAAATATCCCTTTGCAGCTTGTACAAAAAGACTGTTTCCAAGCTGCTCAATCAAAAGAAAGATTCAACTCTGTGAAATGAAAGCACACATCACAAAGAAGTTTCTCAAAATACTTCTGTCTACTTTTTATGTGAGGCTATTTCTTGTTCACCATAGGCCTCGAGCAGCTAAGAAATTTCCCTCTGCAGCTTCTACAAAAGACTGGTTCCAAACTGCTCAACTGAAAGGAAGGTTGAATTCTGTGACATGAATTCACACATCACAGAGAGGTTTTTCAGAAATCTTCTGTCTACTTTTTATGTGAAGATATTTCATATTTCAACAAAGGCCATAAAGGGCTCACAAATATCCCTTTGCAGATTCTAAGGAAAGACATTTTCCAAACTCCTCAATCATAAGAAAGGTTTCACTCTGTGCGATGAATGGACACATCACAAAGAAGTTTCTCAGAAAGCTACTGTGTCGTTTTTATGTGAAGACATTGCCTTTTGCACCCTAGGCCTTAAAACTCTCTAAATACACATTCACAGATTCTACAAAAAGACTGATTCCAAACTGCTCAATCAGAAGAAGGGTTCAATTCCGTGTGACAAACGTGCACATCACCAAGAAATTTGTCAGAAAGCTTCTGTCTAGTTTTCATGGGAAGATATTTATTTTTCACCATTGGCCCCAAACGGCTCAGAAATATCCCTTTGCAGTTTGTAGGAAAAGACTGTTTCCAAACTGCTCAATGAAAAGAAATGGTCAACTATTAGAGATGAATGGAAATGTCACAAAGAGTTTTCACATAAAGCTTCTGTCTACATTTCATGTGAAAGTATTTCCTTTTGCACCATAGGCCTTAAACCGCTCACAAATATAACTCCACTTATACTACCAAGAGACTTTCTCCAAATTGCTAAATCAAAAGAAAGTTTCAACTCTTTGAGAAGAATGCACACATCACAAAGAAGTTTCTCAAAATGCTTCTGTCTAGTTTTTATGTGAAGATATTTCCTTCTTCACCGTAGGCCGCAAATTGTTCCAAATATCCATTTGCGGATTCTACAGAAAGAATGTTTCCAAACTGGTCAATCAACAGAAAGGCTCAACTCTGTGAGACGAAAGCACACATCACAAAGAAGTTTCTCAGAAAGCTTCTGTCTGGTTACTCTGTGAAGATATTTCTTTTTTCACCACAGTCTTTAAGCCACTCAAAAATATCTGTCTGCAGACACTACAAAAAGACTGTTTCCAAAATGGCCCATATAGCATGTTTCAACAATGTGAAATGAATGCACTCATCAAAGAGAAGTTTCTCAGAATTCTTCTGTCTAGTTTTTATCTAAAGAGAATTCCTATTTTGCCATAGGAATCAAGGGGCTCACAAATATCCCTTTGCAGATTCTACAAAAGTTCTGTTTACAAACCTCTCAATCAAAAGAAACGTTCAACATTGTGAGGTGAATGAACACATCACAAAGAAGTTTCTCAGAATGCTTCTGTCTAGAATTTTATGTGAGGATATTTCCATTTTCACCTTAGGCCACAAAGCGCTCCAAACATCCCTTTGCAGATGATACGAAAAGACTGTTTCCAAACTGCTCAATCAAAAGAAATTTTCAACTCTGTGAGATGAAAGCACCCATCACAAAAAAGTTTCTCAGATATCTTCTGTCTAGTTTTTATGTGAAGATATTTCCTTTTTCACCATAGTCCTTACACCGCTCACAAATATCCTTCTGCAGATACTAGAAAAAGACTGTTTCCAAACTGCTCCCTCAAAAGAAAATTTCACCTACCTGAGCTGAATGCACACATCTTAAAAAAGTTTCTCAGAATTCTTCTGTCTAGTTTAAATGTGAAGATAATCCTTTTTCACCACAGACCTCAAATGGCTCAGAAATATACCTTTGCAGATTGTAGAAAGAGACTGTCTCTAAACTGCTCAAATAAAATAAAGTTTCAACACTGTGAGATGAATGCACACATCACAAAGAAGTTTCTCAGAAAGCTCCTGTCTAGTTTCTATGTGAAGATATTTACTATTTCACTATAGGCTTCAAAGGTCTCAAAAATATCCCTTTGCAGATTCTACAAAAATATGCTTTCCAAAGTGCTGAATTAAAAGAAACCTTCAAATCTGTCAGATGAATAGAGACATCACAAAGAAGTTCCTCGGAATGCTTCGGTCTACTTTTCATGTGAAGATATTTCCAGTTTCACCGTAGGCCTCAAAGGGCTAAGAAATATCCCATTCCAGATTTTAAAAGACGACCGTTTCCATACTTCTCAATCAAAAGAAAGGTTAAATTCTCTGAGGTTAATGCCCACGTCAGAATGAAGTTTCTCAGAATTCTTCTGTTTAGTTTTTATGTGAAGATATTTCCTTTGTCACCATTGGCCTCAAAGCACTCCTAATATCCATTTACAGATTTCACAAAAAGAGTGTTTCCAAACAGCTCAATCAAAAGAAAGTGTTTAACTCAGTGAGGTGAAAACACACATCTCAAAGGAGTTTCTCAGAAAGCTTCTGTCCAGTTTATATGTGAAGAAGATTCCTATTTCACCATAGGCAATAAAGGGCTCGCAAATATTTTTTGCAGATTCTAAAGAAAGACTGTATCCAAACTGCTCAATAAAAAGAAAGTTTTAACTCTGTTTGATTAATGGACACATCGAAAAGTAGTTTCTCAGAAAACTTCTGTCTAGTTTTTATGTGAAGATACTTCACAGTGCATCATAGTACTCAATGGGCTCAGAAATATCCCTTGGCAGATTCTACAAAAAGACTGTTTCAAAACTGCTCAATCCAAAGAAAGTTTCAACTATGTGAGATGAATGCACACATCACAAAGAAGTTCCTCAGAATGCTTCTGTTTAGTTTTTACGTGAAGATGTTTCGTTTTTCAACATGGGCCTCAGGAGCTCTCCAAATATCCATTTGCAGATTCTAGAAAAAGAGTGTTTCCAAACTCCTCAATCAAAAGAAAGTTTCAATTCCGTGAGATGAAAACACACATCACACCGAAGTTTCTTAGAAAGCTTCCGTCTAGTTTTTATGGGAAGATGTTTCTCTTTCACCATTAGCCTCAAACGGATCAGAATTCTCCCTTTGCAGATTGTACGATAAGTCTCTTTCCAATCTGCTCAATCAAAAGAAAGTTTCCACTCGGTGAGGTGAATACACACATCGCAAGGGAGTTTCTCAGAAAGCTCCTGTCTAGTTTTTATGTGAAGATATTTCGTATTTCACCACAGGCCATAAGGGGCTCACAAATATCCCTTTGCAGGTTCTACAAAAAGACTGTTTCCAAACTGCTCAATCAAAAGAAAGGTTCAACTCTGTGACGTGAATGGACACATCGCAGGAAATTTCTTGGAATGATTCTGTCTAGTTTTTATGTGAAGATACTTCCTTTTTCACCAAGGGCCTCAAATATCTCCAAATATCCATTTGCAGATTCTACAGAAAGACTTCCCAAACTGCTCAATCAAAAGAAAGTTTCAACACAGTGAGTTGAAGGCACACATCACAAAGAAGTTTCTCAGAAATCTTCTGTCTAGTTTTTATGTGAGGCTATTTCTTGTTCACCATAGGCCTCAAGCAGCTAAGAAATTTCCCTCTGCAGCTTCTACAAAAGACTGGTTCCAAACTGCTCAACTGAAAGGAAGGTTGAATTCTGTGACATGAATTCACACATCACAAAGAGGTTTTTCAGAAATCTTTCTCTCTACTTTTTACGTGAAGATATTTCATATTTCAACAAAGGCCATAAAGGGCTCACAAATATCCCTTTGCAGATTCTAAGAAAAGACATTTTTCAAACTCCTAAATCAAAAGACAGGTTTCACTCTGTGCGATGAAGGGACACATCACAAAGAAGTTTCTCAGAAAGCTACTGTGTAGTTTTTATGTGAAGATATTTCCTTTTTCACTATAGGCCTTAAAACACTCCAAATATACATTTGCAGATTCTACAAAAAGACTGTTTCCAAACTGCTCAATCAAATGAAAGGTTCAACTCTGTGATACAAACGTGCACACCACAAAGGAGTTTCTCAGAAAGCTTCTGCCTAGTTTTCATGTGAAGATATTTATTTTTCACCATTGGCCCCAAACGGCTCAGAAATATCCCTTTGCAGTTTGTAGGAAAAGACTGTTTCCAAACTGCTCAATGAGAAGAAATGGTCAACTATTAGAGATGAATGGAAATGTCACAAGGAGTTCTCTCAAAATGCTTCTGTCTACATTTTATGTGAAGGTATTTCCTTTGGCACCGTAGGCCTTAAACCACTCACAAACATAACTCCGCTTATACTACCAAGAGACTTTCTCCAAATCGCTAAATCAAAAGAAACGTTCAACTCTGTGAGATGAATACACACATCAAAAAGAAGTTTCTCAAAATGCTTCTGTCTAGTTTTTATGTGAAGATATTTCCTTCTTCACCGTAGGCCGCAAATTGCTCCAAATATCCATTTGCGGATTCTACAGAAAGAATGTTTCCAAACTGGTCAATCAACAGAAAGGCTCAACTCTCTGAGACGAAAGCACACATCATAAAGAAGTTTCTCAGAAAGCTTCTGTCTGGTTACTCTGTGAAGATATTTCTTTTTTCACCACAGTCTTTAAGCCACTCAAAAATATCTGTCTGCAGACCCTACAAAAAGACTGTTTCCAAACTGGCCCATATAGCATGTTTCAACTATGTGAAATGAATGCACTCATCAAAGAGAAGTTTCTCAGAATTCTCCTGTCTAGTTTTTATGACAAGATAATTCCTATTTTGCCATAGGAATCAAGGGGCTCACAAATATCCCTTTGCAGATTCTACAAAAGTTGTGTTTACAAACCTCTCAATCAAAAGAAACGTTCAACATTGTGAGATGAATGAACACATCACAAAGAAGTTTCTCAGAATGCTTCTGTCTAGATTTTATGTGAAGATATTTCCATTTTCACGTTAGGCCACAAAGCGCTCCACACATCCCTTTGCAGATGATACGAAAAGACTGTTTCCAAACTGCTCAATCAAAAGAAATTTTCAACTCTGTGAGATGAAAGCACCCATCACAAAAAAGTTTCTCAGAAATCTTCTGTCTAGTTTTTATGTGAAGATATTTCCTTTTTCAGCGTAGTCCTTACACCGCTCACAAATATCCTTCTGCAGATACTAGAAAAAGACTGTTTCCAAACTGCTCCATCAAAAGAAAATTTCACCTACCTGAGATGAATGCACACATCATAAAGAAGTTTCTCAGAATTCTTCTGTCTAGTTTAAATGTGAAGATATTCCTTTTTCACCACAGACCTCAAATGGCTCAGAAATATACCTTTGCAGATTGCAGAAAAAGTCTGTCTCTAAACTGCTCAAATAAAATAAAGTTTCAACACTGTGAGATGAATGCACACATCACAAAGAAGTTTGCTCAGAAAGCT